>NW_003315971.2:0-162811 GCF_000001405.40 Homo sapiens | reverse complement strand
GGGAGAATCGCTTAAACCTGGGAGGTGGAGGTTGCAGTGAGTCGAGATGTGCCACTGCACTCCAGCCTGGCGACAGAGCTGGACTCAGTCTCCAAAGCTTTTAAAACTGTCTTGTGTGTGGATAAAGGTGATTTTTAAGAATATTTTATAAAATATTACCAAAGTTTATGTTTGTAGGTGTTAGCTCTCCCAAAGACTTCTTGAATAGTTGTTTCAGACGGGTTTAGGCCATAATTCTGAAAGAGACAGTTCTTTTTTTTATTTTTTTCTTTTTTTTTTTGAGATGGACTTTCGTTCTGTCGCCCAGGCTGGAGTGCAGTGGTGCTCGGCTCACTGCAACCTCTGTCTCTTGGGTTCAAGTGATTCTCCTGCCTGAGCCTCCCAAGTAGCTGGGATTATAGGTGCGTGCCACCACACCCGGCTAATTTTTTTGTATTTTTACAAAAAAAAATACAGGTAGAGACAGAGTTTCGCCATGTTGCCCAGGCTGGTCTTGAACTCCTGACCTCAGGTGATCTGCCCACCTTGGCAGGGTTTTGCCACGTTGGCCAGGCTGGTCTCAAACTCCCGACCTCAGGTGATCTGCCCACCTCAGCCTCCCGAAGTGCTGGGATTACAGGCATGAGCCACTGCGCCTGGCCTAAAAGACACAGTTCTTGATGCCATAATCCCAAATACTGAAATCCCAAAATATCGAAATCCAAACAATATAATTCTGGAAAAAATAATTTTAAAACATTATTTAAAAAATACTTATTTGGGCCAGGTGCGGTGGCTCACTCCTGTAATCCCAGCATGTTGAGAGGCCTAGGTGGGCAGATCACTTGAGCTCAGGAGTTTGAGACCAGCCTGGCCAACATGGCAAAACCCCGTCTCTACTAAAAATATAAAAATTATCTAGGCATGGTTGCAAGTGCCTGTAGTCCCCGCTACTCGGGATGCTGAGGCACGAGAATCACTTGAACATGGGAGGCGGAGGTTGCAGTGAGCTGAGATCATGCCACTGTACTCCAACCTGGGTGACAGAGTGAGATTCTGTCTCAAAAAAAAAAAAAAAAAAAAAAAAAAAAAAGACACTTGTTTGGCCAGGTACAGAGTCTCACACCTGTAATCTCAGTATTTTGGGAAGCCAAGGTGGGCAGATTGCTTGAGCCCAGGAGTTCAAGATCAGCCTGGGCAACGTGGAGAAACCCTGTCTCTACAAAAAAATACAAAAATTAGCAAGCTAGCGTGCACCTATAGTCCAGCTACTTGGGAGACTGAGGTGGGAGGATCTCTTGGGTCTGGGAGGCAGAGGTTGGAGTGAGCTGTGATGGCGCTGTCTGGGCAACAGAGCAAGACTTTGTCTTCAATAAACAAACAGAAAAACCACTTATTTACCTTTTTTAAAGGGGATTTATTTGAGAAACAAAAACATGACAACACTTCATAGGCCACTTAATATAGTTTGGATATGTGTCCCTGCCCAAATCTCATGTTGAATTGTAATCCCCAATATTGGAAGTGGAGGCTGGTAGGAGGTGATTGGATTATGTGGGTGGATTTTTCATGAATGGTTTAGTACCATCCCCTTGATGCTGTCCTCGAGACGGTGAGCGACTTCTCGCGAGATCTGGCTGTTTTAAAAGTGTGGCACCTCACACTCTCTCTTGCTCAGTCCTCATCATGTGATGTGCCTGTTCCCCCTTTGCCTTCTGCCATGATTGGAAGCTTCCTGAGGCCTTCCTGGAAGCAGGTGCCACTATGCCTCCTGTACAGCCTGCAGAACTGTAAGCCAATTAAATCTCTTTTCTTTTAAGTATTCCTTCATAGCAATGCAGGAACAGCCTAGTACACCACTTTACACAATAAAATAGTAACAAATGTATTTTGCAAGTTTAATCACTCAGTATACTAACCGTAGTTGCATGGGTGTTACATTTTGTAACTGTGGTCCTCTGAAATACCATGATGGACAAACTAGGTCTTTTGATGAGGTAGTAAAAACAAGGATGGGTCATCACTGTGTGTGCAGTCTCCTGAAGAGCAGAGATATTGTTGAATTTTATCTTTCACAAAAACAGTATAAAAAAAGGACATCTCATTGAAGGTTCACCTTTTTTTTTTTTTTTTTTTTTGAGATGGAGTTTCACTGTTGTTGCTGAGGCTGAAGTGCAATGGTGTGGTCTCGGCTCACTGCAACCTTTGTCTCCTGGGTTCAGGCGATTTTCCTGCCTCAGCCTTCCAAGTAGCTGGGATTACAGGCGCCCCGCCACCACGCCTGGCTAATTTTTGTATTATTAATTTTTGTAGAGACAGGATTTCACCGTATTGGCCAGGCTGGCCTCGAACTCCTGACCTTGGGTGATCTGCCCGCCTTGGCCTCACAAGTGCTGGGATTACAGATGTGAGCCACCGTGCCTGGCCAGTTTCAACTTTTTTTAAAGAGACCATAGTCTTCTAGCTATGTTGCCCATGCTGGAGTGCAGTGACTATTCACAGGCATGATCATAGTGCACTTCAGCCTCAAACTCCTGGCCTCAAGTGATCCTCCTACCTCAGCCTCCCTAGTAGCCGGGACTGACTACAGGTGCTCCACCACACCTGGCTTCTACGTTTTGATGAACACAGCCAGAGCTTACACATGAAGTCAGTGTTGTGATAATGCACTTCTGTGGAGTTCAGTTTGCAAAAAAAAAATGCATAGAATTAATTAGAACTCTCCAAAAGTCTCTACACAATTTATATCTCCAGTATTAGAAATGATGTGAAGATAAAATATATAGCATAGCAAATTGGCACTATGTGTGAAGGAGCAGAAATAATACACCATTGAATAATTTGGCAGGGGAGATTTCTTGTATTTTTTGCCTGTATTTTCACTTCTGCGATCTTCAAAGCACTTGCTCCAGTTTTATTTGCAAAGTGGTTGTGATCCACAAATTTTGTAAGTATATACTGTCTATTTGAAAGCCTGATTATTGCCTGGCCGTTGCAATTTCTGCTTTTGCAGCACCAGTGATAATTAGCTTTTAAACTTTTATCTTTCGCCATTAAGTAGCCGTGTACACTTATCAGAGCCTTTTTGCGAGGGAAGAGTTTCACAGATCTCTTCAATTGTGCTGTAAAGAATAAAGTAAGAAGAACTGATACTCAGCTTCCCCAACACCAAATCTGCATTAGTCAGGGTTCCCTAGGGAGACAGAACCAATAGGATATGTGTATAGATATGAGGGAATTTATTAGGGGAATTGGCTCATATGATTAATGGTGGCTGAGAAGTCCCATGACAGATCATCTGCAGGCTTGAGACCCTGGGATGCCAGTAGCATACCTCAGTCCAAATCCAAAGGCCTCAGAACCAGGGAAGCTAATGGTGTTATCTCTCGGTCCAAGGTCAAAAAGCCTCAGAATTCAGGGGGCCACTGGTTAAGTCCTGGAGTCCAAAGGCTGGCAAGCCTGGAGTTCTGATGTCCAAGGCAGCAGAAGAAAAGTCTGTTCTAGCTCTCAGCAATTCACCTTCTGTGTACTCCCTGGGCTCCTGGCTGATTGGATGATACCCACCAACATAGAGGGCTCTCCTTGCCTACTCAGACTCGCACACTAATCTCTGAAAACATCCTCACAGACACACACACAACACAGTGCTTTACCAGGTTTCTAGGTGTTCCTGTCAAGTTGATAGCTAAAATTAAGTCCACAAATCTATCCTCGGCAACTTGGTACCCATAGGCATCTCCTTAAACCATACTTAATTTCCAGATAATGACAATAGCAAGGTCATAGTTCCACCTAGCATGGTGTAACTATTGTGTACAACCAAAACTATGCAAATTCCCTGCCCCAAAATTCGGCTTTTGGGATTTCATCATTTGGGATTTTAATCTTTTGGGGTTGTGGTTTTAAACATTAGGGATTTTTAGACTTTAGTCTTTTGGGATTTTAACATTCAGGATTATGGCATTTGGGATTATGATTGGTACTGATTGCAGACAGTTTTTGCTAAATCTAGTGTTTAGATATAGCAGCAAAATAATTTCTATGTATATTTAATCACTGATGTAGTAAATCAGTAGTTAATATTTACAGATCCCTTACCCAGTACCAGGCACAGTGCACGTTTTATATTCATTATTTAATTCTCTCAGAATAACCCAATAAAGTCAGTATTTTATCTGTAAAACGGGGATAAAGAAACAGACTGAAGAGAGATTCATTCATTTGGAAGAGGTTCCTCAGCCACCAAGTGATAGAGCCAGGGCTGGCATGCAACTCTATGTGGCTTCAAAACCTGTTTCTCCCTTTTAGTGTAAAATGTATACTTTGTAAAAATGTACACCATGTGGCTGCTGCTTTCTCCCCACACTGACAGGCTTTCCCTGCCCACCTGAGCCCAGGCAGCGCCCACATGAGTACGTGCTCTCTCCCTCAGCCCTGTTCTCCCTTCACAGCAATTATCTGACAGTCTTGTCTTGTATCTGTTTCCTTCACAAAATGTAAGCACCATGGGATGGAAACTTTGCCTACTCCATCCCTGTCTGCATCCATGTTTCCTAGAGTAGTGCCTGACACACAGTAGGAGCCAACATATTTGTTGTAAAGGCTATGAACCAGAAGGTTGTATCAGTCTACAATATTCACTTTTTAAGTCACTTCTGTAGAACAGACTATTAATTTTTTCTTTCTAGTTAGTGATTTTAAGTGAGGAAATTGAAGAGAGGTGTCTTGAAGAGATGCGGAGGAACCAGTCAAGTAGGAGACAGGTCAAGGCTTGTGGAAGTAGAGATTGGTAGTGGTTTAAATGAGCATGGTGCTGGACCTGCCTGAGCTCTTGTAGCTTCGTGAATAGTAACCTTTCTTCCCCAGTCCCTGGTCTAGTGTCTTCCCAACTACTGCCAGAAAATCTTCTGAAAGGTAGCTCTTGTCGTATCCTTTTCATTTGTGTACTGAGTTAAATTTAGACACCTTGCCTTGGTCTTCAGGGTTCCATGGTAGGACCCTGCCCTGCCTCTCTAACCACATCTCCTGGTTTCCCCAGTTGTATCCTCTGCTGCAGCTCGGTGTCCCCAGAGGTGCCTTTATTTCCAGGTCTGGGTCCGTGTCCTCTTTTCTGTTCTCCATCTTATCTTTTTTTTTTTTTTTTTTGAGATGGAGTCTCGCTCTATCACCCAGGCTGGAGTGCAGTGGCACCATCTCGGCTCACTGCAAGCTCCGCCTCCCGGGTTCATGCCATTCTCCTGCCTCAGCCTCCTGAGTAGCTGGGATTACAGGCGCCTGCCACCACGCCAAGCAAATTCTTATATTTTTAGTAGAGATGGGATTTCACCATGTTGACCAGGCTGGTCTCTAACTCCTGACCTCAGGTGATCCACCTGCCTCGGCCTCCCAAAGTGCTGGGATCACAGGTATGAGCCACCGCGTGCAGCCTGTTCTCCATCTTTTGAGATAGTTATATTTCAAGGCCTTTCTCAAATGTTACTTTTCTCCATGAAATCTAACATTCCCTTAACTGGATGTTTCCTTCATGACGTTTGTAATTTTCTGGTGCACCGTTAATCTTTGCTTTTTGCTTTTTATTATACCTTTCTTTTTTCCTTTTTTTTTTTTTTTTAATTTTTTGAGACAGAGTCTTGCTCTGTCCCCCAGGCTGGAGTGCAGTGGCGCAATCTCGGCTCACTGCAACCCCTGCTTCCCAGGTTCAAGCAGTTCTCCTGCATCAGCCTCCCAAGTAGCTGGGATTACAGGCACCCGCCACCACGCCTGGCTAATTTTTGTATTTTTGGTAGAGATGGCGTTTCACCATGTTGGCCAGGCTGGTCTCAAACTCCTGACCTCGTGATCTGCCTGCCTCAGCCTCCCAAAATGCTGGGATTACAGGCGTGAGCCACCGTGCCCAGCCTATTATACCTTTCTAAATGTGTTCTTGCCCTCCTTCCCCAGTCCTCCCTGAGGGCAAGATTATGGTATTGGCACTTGCCGTATCCTCTACGGTGCATTGAACACATGAACAAGCAATCATTTTAGAGGTAGAGAAAAACACGTACGAGAAAAAGGCAAACAATGGTATTTAGTTTTGGTGTAGGGAAGACTTGTCCTTTTCCAAGGATTAGTTTTGGTGGTCAGGAAGCTTTTTGAAGCCAGGAGAAACAATGTAGGTAAAGAATTAAGTATATTGAGGCCAGGCCTGGTGACTCATGCCTGTATCCCAGCACTTTGGGAGGCCGAGGCGGATGGGTCACTTGAGGTGAGGTAAAGAGTTTAAGACCAGCCTGGCCAACATGGCGAAACCCTGTCTCTACCAAAAATACGAAAGTTAGCTGGGCGTGGTGGCATGCGCCTGTAACGCCAGCTACACGGAGGCTGAGGTAAGAGAATCACTTGAACCTGGTAGGTGGAGGTTGCAGTGAGCCAAGATCACACCAGTGCACTCCAGCCTGGGTGACAGAGTGAGACTCCATCTCAGAAAAAAAAGAAAAAAGAAAAAGAATTAAGCAAATTGGGTCTAGTATTTTAGAGTAGAAGAAAAGAAACCAAATGGGGAAACGACTGAGAAGCACCATTTTTCAGAGTTTGGGGATGAGTCCTAGTACTTGTCCTCAGGGTGTTCAACAGTATTGTGTGGGAAACAGACAACTAGATCATTGATAATACGTTGTAAAAATTTGACCATAGAGCTGGCTGTGGTGGCTCATGCCTGTAATTCCATCTATTCAGGGGCTGAGGTGGGAGGATTGCTTGAGGCGAGGAGTTGGAGACCAGTCTGGGCAACGTAGTGAGACCTTCTCTCCAAAAAATACATAAATAAAATTTAAAAATAAAATTGGCCATAGAGAGGGAAAGGCGCTAGAAAACATTGGTTAATTCTACCAAAGCTTAGTAAGAGCTAGTGATCTTAGCAAAATTGAGGTCCTGAGCAGGTGGGCAGAAAGGTTGACATCGCGCTGGAGGAAGCTGTCTTAGGGTGAATACATGAATTGTCTTGACCCCCTTAAAAGGGCATTGCAGAAGGTATCACAATATTTTAGGAAGATGATGGTGAAAGGTTAGTTTTTAGTACTAGGACTCAGTTCTTAAGGGAGAAGTAGGTCAGTGTTCAAAGAAACAATATTTAATTTAGTGTTAGAAACCTCCCGGATAGCATCTTGTTCTTCCACGTTTCATGTTTTTGCAGGGCCGAGATGAGTAGCCATGGGAATGAGACAGGAGTAAAGGAGGCTGGACACAGTAGTTGACGCCTACAATGGGATGCTAGGTGGGAGGATCACTTGAACCCAGGTGTTGGAGACCAGCCTGGGCAGCATAGTGAGACCTCGTCTCTACAAAATTAAAAATAGCCGGGCATAGTGGTGCATGCCTGTAGTCCCAGCTACAAAGAGAAAAAAAGGAGTAAGGGAGATAACTAAAGGGGAAGACTATGTAATGAATTACTTGCTCTTGCATGTCCTAGGTTCTTCTCAGTTACACCTTTTTAGAGATTTTTTTTCTTTTTCTTTTTCTCTTCTGAGACAGGATCCGGCTCTGTTGCCCAGGCTGGAGTGCAGTGGCATGATCACGGCTCACTGCAATCTCCGCCTCCCAGGCTGAAGCAAATCTTGTGCCTCAACCACCCCAGTAGCTAGGATTACAGGTGCGCACCACCATGCCCAGCTGATTTTGGTATTTTTTTTTGTAGAGATGGGGTTTCGCCATGTTGTCCAGGCTGGTCTTGAACTCCTGAACTCAAGTGATCCTCCTGCCTCAGCCTCCCAAAGTGTTGGGATTACAGGTGTGAGCCACTGCGCCCAGCCAGATTTTTTTAAATTGATATGAAATTCACGTGACAAAATTAATCATTTTTAAGCGAACACTCGAGTGGCGTTTGCTGCATTCACAATGTGTGCACCCATAACAACCTGTATCTAGTCCCAAAGTAAACCTGCTACCCATTAAGCAGTTACTCCCCTTGCCCTCTTCTGCCAGTCCTTTGCAACCACCGATCTGCTTTGTGTTTTTAGATTTACTTCTTTTGGATATTTCATTAGATGGAATCGTACAATATGTGACCTTTCATGTCTGACTTCTTTCACTTAGCGCGTAGTGTTTTGAGATTTATCTACATTGTATTGTGTATGAGTACTTCATTCCTTTTCATGGCTGAATACATACTCAGTTTTATGTATATACCACAATCTGTTCATCCGTTCATCTGTTGATGGACATTTCGGTTGTTTCCACCTTTTGGCTATTTTGAATAGTGCTGCTATGAACATGTGTGTATATCTATTTGTTTGGATACCTGTTTTCACTTATTTTGAGTATATACCTAGGAATGGAGTTGCTGGATCGTGTAATTCTGTATTCAACTTTTTGAAGAACCACCAGACTTTTTCACAGTGGCTGAATATTTTATATTCCCATGTGTGGCCCAGGCTGGAGGGCAGTGGCATGATCGTGGATCACTACAGGCTTCACTCACTGGGCTCGAGTGATTCTCTTGCTTCAGCCTCCCAAATAGCTGGGATTACAGGTATGTGCCACCATACCTGTCTAATTTTTGTATTTTTATAGACAGGGTCTCACCATGGTTGGCCAGGCTGGTCTCCTAACTCCTGGCTTCAAGTGATCCAGTGTGCCTGGCCCCCACCAGCAATATGTGAGGGTTCCAGTCTCTCCACATCATCACCAACACTTGTAATTTTTTGTTTTCTTTCCTATAGCCATACCTATGGGTATGAAGTGCTGTGTCATTGTGGTTCATTTTTCCTGATACATTAACTTTTTAAGAGAAATGTTAGTAGACTTTATTGCTTAGAGCAGTTTTAGGTTTACAGAAAAAATGAGCAATAAGAGAGTTCCTGTTTACCCTCCCTCAATCCAACCATAGGTTCCACTATTACTAATATCTCATATTAGTGTGGTGCATTTGCTACACTTGATATACAGTATTGATATTTTATTATTAACTCCAGTCCAGTTCATATTTGACCTTTTTTTGTTTGTTTTTGAGAGGGAGTCTTGCTCTGTTGCCCAGGCTGGAGTGCAGTGGTGTGATCTCAGCTCACTGCAACCTCCACCTCCAGGGTTCAAGCGATTCTCCTGCCTCAGCCTTCTGAGTAGCTGGGATTACAGGCACCCACCACCATGCCTGCTAATTTTTATATTTTTAGTAGAGACAGGGTTTCACCGTGTTGGCCAGGCTGGTCTCAAATTTCTGACGTCAAGTGATCAGTCCACCTCAGCCTCCCAAAGTGCTGGGATTACAGGCGTGAGCCATCATGCCTGACTTTTTTTTTTTTTTTTTTTTTTTTTTTTTTTTTTTGAGACAGTGTCTTGCTCTGCCAGCCAGTGCAGTGGTACAATCATAGCTCGCAGTAACCTTGAGCTGCTGGACTCAGGTGAGATTACAGGTGCTAGCCACAGCAACTGACTTGAGTTCATTCTTTGTTGTATATTCTGTGGGTTTGGACAAATGCATAATGTCTTACATCTGCTAATACAGTATTATACAGAATTGTTTCACTATCCCAGGAGTCACCTGTACTCTCTCCGTATTCATCCTTCCCCCTCTTCCCTTGGATCCTTGGTAATCATTGATCTTCCTACTGACTTTACAGTTTGGTGTTTTCCAGAATATTATATAGCTAAAGTCATGTAGCCACTTCAGATTCATGTCTTTCACTTAGCAATAATCATTTAAGGTTCCTGCATGTCTTTTTTCTTTTTTTGAGACAGAGTCTTGCTCTGTCACCCAAGCTGAAGTGCAGTGGTGCGATCTCCACTCACTGCAACCTCTGCCTCCTGGGTTCAAGTGATTCTCCTGCCTCAGTCTCCCGTGTAGCTGGGATTACAGGTGCCCACCACCACCCTTGGCCAAGTTTTGTATTTTTAGTAGAGATGGGGTTTCACCATGTTGGCCAGGCTGGTCTTGAACTCCTGACCTCAGGTGATCCGCGTGCCTCAGCCTCCCAAAGTGCTGGGATTATAGGTGTGAGCCACCTCGCCTGGCCGGGTAGAGAGATCTTCACAGTTGAAAATACCTCTTCTAAATCCTTGACTTTGAGCTCCTCACGTGCTGAGAGTGTTGTAAGTTCGTCTATATAGTATACCCTATGATAACCCCTAATATGACCACAATAGATATTTAATTGTGGTGGTACTATACTTACAGAACAGGTTCATGTTATTTTTGGAAGACATTCTAGATAATAGAGACCATCTGTTTTGTATTCACCAAGATTCTTGATTCTTTGGTGATATCTCTTATTTGTTCTGGAAAATTCCCAATACTTCTCCTCACTTACTGCCTTGCCTCCATTCCCTTCTCATTCTAAGAGTCCACCCATACAGGGATACATTCAACCTTGTAGTCACCCTTTCTTTTCTGTTTTTTTTTTTTTTTTTTTTTTGAGGCGAAGTCTCGCTCTGTCGCCCAGGCTGGAGTGCGGTGGTGCGATTTCGGCTCACTGCAACCTCCGCCTCCTGGGTTCAAGTGATTCTTCTGCCTCGGCCTCCCGAGTAGCTGGGACTTACAGGCACTTATTACCACGCCTGGCTAATTTTTTGTATTTTTAGTAGACACGGGGTTTCACTGTGTTAGCCAGGATGGTCTCGATCTCCTGACTTCCTGATCTGCCCGCCTAAGCCTCCTAAAGTGCTGGGATTAAATGGCATCCATTACAAGTGTTTTTTTTCTTTTCTATTTTTCATTCTGGGTAGATTACTTTGACCTGTTTTCAGTTAATCAGTCTTCTCTTTGACTAATCTGCGTTTTTTTGAGACAAGAGTCTCACTCTTTCGCCCAGGCTGGGGTGCAGTGCAGTGGCACGATCTTGGCTCTCACTGCACCCTCTGCCTCCTGGGTTCAAGCAGTTCTTGTGCCTTAACCTCTCGAGTAGCTGGGACCACAGGTGTGTGCCCCTACACCTGGCCAATTTTTGTACTTTTAGTAGAGATGGAGTTTCACCATGATGGCCAAGCTGGTCTTCAACTCCTGGCCTCAAGTGAGCCACCTGCCCCAGCCTCCCAAAGTGCTGGAATTACAAGTATGAGCCACCGCGCCAGCCGATTAATCTGCTTTTAATTTAATAACTCAATGGATAGTTCTTACCAATATCTTACTGTATTTTTCAGTTGTGATTCTTTTCAAGTCTGCTACATTGTTTTTTATGGATTCCTGTTCCCTGCTAAATTTTTCAAACTTCGCTTTTATTTCCTAGAACATACTAAATATAATTCTTTTATAGTCTCCTGATATCTCCAGTATTTGGAGTTCCTTTGGATCTATAACTGCCTCTCATGGTTCTTACTCATGGTACTTTGTTCATATGTTTGTGTGCTGGACATGGTATTTGAAAAATTGTTTATAGAAATAATTAGAGGCTTTGGGTGTGATGTCTTTTTCCAGGTGACTGACGGCACTAGCCAACGAGGATCATTTTAATACAAGTTGAAGCCCAGGCGCGCTGGCTAAGGCCTGTAATCCCAGAGCACTTTGGGAGACTGAGGCAGGCAGATCAGCTGAGGTCAGGAGTTCGAGACCAGCCTGGCCAACATGGTGAAACCCCCTCCTTACTAAAAATACAGAAATTAGCCGGGCGTGATGGCGGGTGCTTGTAATCCCAGCTACTTGGGAGGCTGAGGCAGGAGAGTCGTATGAACCCGGGAGGCGGAGGTCGCAGTGAACTGAGATGGCGCCACTGCACTCCAGCCTGGGGGGGACAGAGCAAGACTCTGTCTCAGAAAAAAAAAAAAGTTGAAGATTTGAGTTTTTTATGGACTATCCAGATGGTTTGAAGCTGAGTCCATGGGAGGGCTTATTTACTTCTACTTCAGTCTTACTCCTAGGATGCAGCCCTATGGGGCCTCAGTTCACAGGTTCGCTGGGGTGAGGAGCGCGTTACTGAGTTATGAGTTATAAGTTATCTCCTGTGCAAGGCCTTGGAGTGAGCCAGGCACTTTCTGGGCCTCCACTGGCAAATCAACAAATGCCCCCAGGTCTTGCCTCTTTCTTTGGATTTCCATCTTTTTCAGGATATTAATTTGGTAATATCTCACTATCTTGTTAGATTTTTGTTACTTTTGGAAAGATGTATATATATTGTATCCAGTTTTTTGTGCAGTTATTTAGTCTGTATTACTGTAAACAGAAAACAAGGTCTTATTTTCATGGACTCATGTTATTCTAACATTAACCTTGAAACAAGTGACCATATGGTGAGTGATACTATTATACTGTATTATTGTTTATGTCTCTGTGTGACACTGTTAAGATGCCTGAATTGTTTGGGTAAACCAGGTGGTATTGGTTGGTGGGTGCTTTAAGACTCACTATCTAGAGCATGATCTCTGCAGCCAGTCGCCTGATTTTTGAATCCCAGCTCTGCCCCTTGTTTGCAATGTGACGTCAAGCAAATGACTATTCTGCCTCTGTTTCGTTGTCTAGAAAATGGAAATAATAATTGTACCTACCTCGTGGGTGGCTGTGCCAGTTAAATTAGTTCATAACTAAAGCTTTTAGAACATTGCCAGACTTACAGTAATGATTAGATAAATTTTAGCTATTATTATTACCACCTAGAAGCTTTGGAAATACAGGGATACCTCATTTTATTGCATTCTACTTTATTGTACTTCACAGATATTGTGGGATTTTTTTGTTTTATAAATTGAAGGTTTATTGCAACCCTGCATTGAGCAAGTCTAAGTCTGTTGGTGCCAATTTTTCAACAGCATGTGCTCACTTTGTGTCTTTGTGCCACATTTTGGTAATTCTCCCAATATTTTAAACATTTTATTCATTTTATTTTATTTATTTTTGAGTCGGAGTCTCGCTCTGTCTCCCAGAGCTGCACTGGAGTGAAGTGGCGCCATCTCGGCTCACTACAACCTCCACCTCCTGGGTTCTAGCGATTCTCCCCCTCAGCCTCGTGAGTAGCTGGGATTACAGGTGTGCACCACCATGCCCGGCTAATATTTTTATTTTTAGTAGAGGTGGGGTTTCACTGTGTTGGCCAGACTGGTCTGGAACTCCTAACCTGAAGTGATCTGCCTGCCTCAGCCTCCCAAAGTGCTGGGATTACAGGCATGAGCCACCACACCTGGCCTGAATATTTTAAACTTTTTTTTTTTTTTCTGAGAGAGATTTTCACTCTTGTTCCCCAGGCTGGAGTGCAATGGCGTGATTTTGGCTCACTGCAATCTCCGCCTCCGGGGTTCAAGTGATTCTCCTGCCTTAGCCTCCCGAGTAGCTGGGATTACAGGCATGCGCCATCACGCCCTGCTAATTTTGTATTTTTAGTAGAGACGGGGTTTCTCCGTATTGGCTAGGCTGGTCTCGAACTCCTGTTCTCAGATGATCCACCCGCTTCGGCCTCCCAAAGTGCTGGGATTACAGGCATGAGCCACCGCGCCCAGCCTTAAACTTTTAAAATTGTTATCTGTCATGAAGATCTGTGATCAGTGATCATCGATGTTACTTTTTTTTTTCTTTTTTGAGATGGAGTCTCGCTCTGTCGCCCAGGCTGGAGTGCAGTGGTGCGATTTCGGCTCACTGCAAGCTCTGCCTGCCGCGTTCACGCCATTCTCCTGCGTCAGCCTCCCGAGTAGCTGGGACTACAGGTGCCCGCCATCACACCTGGCTAATTTTTTTGTATTTTTAGTAGAGACAGGGTTTCACCGTGTTAGCCAGGTTGGTCTCAATCTCCTGACCTCATGATCCACCCACCTCGGCCTCCCAAAGTGCTGGGATTACAGGCGTGAGCCACCGCGCCCGGCCTGATGTTACTTTTGTAATTGTTTTGGAGCGCCACAAAGCACTCCCATATAAGACGGCGAACTTAATATATACATGTTGTGTATAGATGTGTGTTCAGACTGCTGCCAACTGGGTGTCCCCCCATCTCACCACCTCCTCAGGTCTCTCTGTTACCTCAGACACAACAGTATTGAAGTTAGGTCAGTTAATAACCTGATCATGACCATTAAATGTTCAAGTGACAGGAAGAATTGCACATCTCTCACTTTTAAATCAGAAGCTAGAAATGATGGTTTAGTGAGGAAGGCATGTCAAAAGCCAAGATAGGCTGAATACTAGGCCTATTGCACCAAACGTGGCCAAGTTATGAATGCAAGAAAAGGTTCTTGAAGAAAGTTAAAAGTACAACTCCAGTGAACACATGAATGAGAAGAAAACGAAACAGCTTATTGCTGATATGGAAAAGTTTTAGTGACTCAGATGGAAAATCAACCAGCCGCAACATTCCCTTAAGCCAGAGCCTAATCCCAGAGCAAGACTTTCTCTTTTCACTTCTGTGAAGGCTGAAAAAAGTAAGAAGCTGCAGAAGTGAAGTTTGAAGCTAGCACAGATTGGTTCCTAAAGTTCTTGAAACCATCTCTGTAACATTAAAATGCAAGTTGAAGCAAGTGCTAATGTAGAAGCTGCAGCAAGTTATCTAGAAGATGTAGCCAAGATCACTGATGAAGGTGGCTATATTGAACAGATATTCAGTGTAGCCTTATGTCAGAAAAGATGCCATCTAGGACTTCCATAATTAGGAGAAGTCAGTGCCTGGCTTCAAAAGACAGGCTGACTGTTATTAGGAGCTGGTGTAGCTGGTGAATTTAGGTTGATGCCAGTGCTCATTTACCATTCTAATAATTCTAGGGCCCATAAATTTATGCTAAATCTACTCTGCCTGTGCTCTGTCAGTGGATCAACAAAACCTAGATGACAGCACATCTGTTTACAGAATGGTTTAATGAATATTTTAAGGCCACTGTTGAGACCTACTACTCAAAAGATTTCTTTCAGAATATTACTTCTTGACAGTATACCTGGTCACCTAAGAGCTCTGATGGAAATGTATAAGGAGATAAATGTTGTTTTCATGCTTGCTAACACAACATCTATTCTGCAGCCCCTGGATCAAGGAATCATTTTGATTTTCAAGTCTTATTTAAGAAATATGTTTCATAAGGCTCTAGCTGCTATACATAATAATTCCTCTAGTGGGTCTGGGCAGAGTGAATTGAAAACCTTTCGGAAAGGATTTACCATTCTAAATGCCATTAAGAACATTTGTGATTCATGGGAGGAGGTCAGTACATGAACAGGAGTTTGGAAGATGATTCCAGCCCTCATGGATGACTTTGAGGGGTTCAGGACTTCAGTGGAGGCAGGAACTGCAGATGTGGTAGAAATAGCAAGAGAACTCGAATTAAAAGTGGAGCCTGGAGATGTGACTGGATTGCTGTAATCTCATGATAAAACTTGAACAGATGAGGAGTTGCTGCTTATGGATGAGCAAAGAAAGTGATTTATTGAGATGGAATCTACTCCTGATGAAGATGCTGTGAACATTGTTGAAATGCCAATGAAAGATTTAGAATATTACATAAACGTAGTTGATTAAGCAGTGGCGGGGTTGAAGAGAACTGACTGCAGTTTTGAAAGAAGTTCCACTGTGGGTAAAATGCTATCAAACAGTTTGGCATGCTATAGAAAAATCTCTTAGAAAAGGAAGAGCCAGTCGATGCGTCAGACTTCATGGGTGTGTTATTTGAAGAAATTTGCCACAGCCACCTCAGCCTTCAGCAACCACCACCCTAATTAGTCAGCAGCCATCAACATGGAGGCAAGACCCTCCGTCAGCAAAAAGATTAGGACTCCCTGAAGGCTCAGATGATTGTTAGCATTTTTTAACGATAAAGTATTTTTTAAATTAAGGTATGAACATTGTCTTTTAGACATAATACCATTTCACACTTAGTAGACTGAAGTATAGCGTACACATATAAAAGTTAATATGTGCTGGAAAACCAGAAAATTTGTGTGACTCGCTTTATTGCCACGGTCTGGAACCAGACCCACAATACCTGCAATGTTATGCTTGTGGCTGATTTTTCATAGAATGTTTGTGTCTCTTTGACTTTTTTATTTTCAAAATTTAGGATTGCAGGTGACTCTCCATTGGCTTATTTCAGAATGACTGGGGTTAGGGTGTTTGCTAATTGCATGCCAGTGGTCAGGGAAGAAGGGAAAACTCTTGCACTTTAGAGGCCATCTGCCTCCAAGTAGAGCTCCAACTGTCAGGCCACTGTCCCTCTGTGGGGAGGGTGGGGATTGGTCCTGTGGCTTGTAGTTCTTGCCATATAGATTAAGAATGCGCTCCGTCGGCATTCTTCATTGTGAATTAGAGGATTGATGAGGATTTAACCCTGCTGTGATTTCTATGAATGGACTGTAGATCCCAGGGTGTGGGATCTTTCCTAACTCGAGAATGACAAAAATTACCTGTCACAGAGTGCTGTTACACCAATCAGTAGTTATTTATTGTGTTTTTTAGGGTTTATTTTGTTTGTTTGATAACCTCTTTTCCATTTTTTTCCTTGTTGTCTTTTACTTGTTTTTTTGTTTTTGTTTTTGTTTGTTTTTTTGAAGTGGAATCTCACTGTCACCCAGGCTGGAGTGTGCAGTGGTGAGATCTCGGCTCACTGCAACCTCTGCTTCCTGGGTGTACAAGCAAGTGATTCTCGGATTACAGGTGCCTGCCACCATGCCCAGCTAATTTTTGTATTTTTGGTAGAGACAGGGTTTCACCATGTTGGCCAGGCTGATCTTGAACTCCTGACCTCAAGTGATCTGCCTGCCTCGGCCTCCCAAAGTGCTGGGATTATAGGCGTGAGCCACCATGTCTGGTGTCTTTTACTTATTTTATTATTGGTTCAAGTTTTTACCTGAGAGAGGGAAAGAGGGTGGTAATTCTAACAGTGATAATTTTGATTTATATGGTACTTAGCTGTTTGCAGACTTACTGTGGGACATTCCCGTGTGGTGGCAAGGTAGGTTAACTCCACTTTTGCAGGTGAAGAATGTGAGACATATGGGTTAAATAACTTGCCCAAGTCACAGAACAAGTGGCAAGACTAGGAAGTATTTAGATTTCTTAATTCTAAATGTAGTACTTTTTCCAACAGATGACCCAGAAGAATCAATAGAAAACAAATTTAATAGTGGAAGCAATTGTATGTACAAATAAAATTGTATTTTTTGTTCACTTCGCTTACTAAAATAAAATCCTATTTCTAGATGATTTTCTAAACATGTTTTTCTTGGTCTCTTTGTTCAAGTCATTTAGTTTGACTCTAGGTAAGATAGTACTACTCAATGTTCTTTCTGTCACTTCAGGAGAGAGATGGTGTGCACCAGTTGATACCCAATGTTCCCTTGTTCTTCTCCCTGATATTACATCAGAGAAGTCCCCAGTTGAGAAGGGAGGAGGAAAGTTTTATGGTTACTGTTCCTCAAATCTCTTGGGAAAGACAGCAAACTGCTGTCAGGAGTAGTTTTCTTTTGTCTCAGTGTCTGTTACATTTATACATGGCACCCTCCTTATCATAGTTATGGCTTGCACCCTAAAATAAGGTCTAGAGCGACAGACATTTACAAAGTTCTTTTTTTTTTTTTTTTTTGAGACAGAGTCTCATTCTGTTGGCCAGACTGGAGTGCAGTGGCACGATCTCGGCTCACTGCAACTTCTGTCTCCTGGGCTCAAGCAATTCTCCTGCCTCAGCCTCCCGAGTATGTGGGACTACAGGCATGCGCCACTATGCCTGGCTAATTCTTGTATTTTTTTTAGTAGAGGTGGGGTTTCACCATGTTGGCCAGGCTTGTCTTGAACTCCTGACCTCGTGATCCGCCTGCCCTGCCCTCCAAAAGTTCTGGGATTTACAGGCGTGAGCCACTGCACCCGGCACAAAGTTCTTATGCTACCGAAATGATCTTTTTGTTCTTCTGACCCTAATTATTAGGTTTTCTGACCCTAAATTAATTTGCTAATTCTTGATGCTCTTCTTGGATACTTAGATGTAACTATTTCACCTTAGTTTGGAGTTAGCATTTTGATGTTTTTAATATATTTGAAATAATCCTGCAAACTATTTTTTGGTTTGGGCTTTTAAGTGGGACGCTCAATCTTCAGAAGGACTTTTAGCTTATGGACACTTAAAAAAAGCAAGAACTAGCACATTGTTTCTTGGTATTTTGGAATTGTGGTGAGTTTGAGGCAACCGTGGAAGTGTAGAGTGTGTTGACTCACCTCCGCTCCTCCTAACTCCTGTGTTCATTTCACAGGAATTAATCGTCCAGACAATATTCCTCCCATGCCTGCATCCCCAGCCATATGGAGAGGACCCCATAAACTGTAAAAAGGTTCATTGGCTTTTATCTGGAGGGGACTAAACCCATAGAACTCGGTTCTGCTTTTTGCTTCATTTGACAGGTTGACCTATGGTGTTGGTACGTCCAGTAAAATCAAGTCTAAATGCTTTGGTTGACTGCATTTCTCATTGCTTTGCTCAGGAAGGCCAAGGACACATTAAAATCTGTTTGTCCCCTCCTATATTTTCTTTCTAAGGTTGTTAGCCAGCACTTTTGTTTTACAGTGTGTTTTTGTTTGGACTCGACTTCTGCTCGTAAATTAGGATGTGGTCAGTTAAGAGCATTTTGAATTTTAAACGTGTCTGTTTCACTGGTTTTGTGTCTCCATGTTTATGTATAGGGAAAGTAAGTTTTCATGTTTTTACATTTTGTTTGTACTAAACTTAAGTGCTTTCTTTCAAGGGCTAGAGGCATTGAAAGTAATTTTAAAAACTCTAAAGAAACCTTTTTATTCTCATTGCTTACATTTTTAATAACAAGTTAGGTAGCTTTTATTCTTCAGAAGTGGGATTTATTATGTAAAGCCACTTTTTGGAAGAGGTGAAAATTAACCTGCCTTTCCTTATGCCTCAGTGAGAGGTGAGGTTCAGAGCAGAGAATGCAGGTAGGGATTATGGAAACCCTTTCTTGGTATTAATTTTCCTCACAGATTAAAACTTTTGGTCTTCATCTGTTACCTTTACATTTGTCAGAAAGAGAATTTATATTGTCAACTTAATTCACCCAGTGTTCGATTGCTTGCTCTGTGCGTGGCAGTAAGAGAACTAAGGTCCCACGCTGTGGGGGAAATAGAAGGGTAGATAACTCTGGTAATGCTTATCATGGCTTGTGTTCTAGGAAGGTGTTAAGGGAAAAGTGCGATTTGCACTGGACTTGAAAGGTGAGTGGTATGTCAGCAAAGCTGGTATTATTCACGCAGAAGGACCAGGCTGAACAAACGAAAAGGTGCAGAAGGTGCCTGCTGGGTGTGCTGGGAATACACAGAACATTGCTAAGAACAGTAGAAGTTAGGGCACATTCCTTGTTAGTCCCAGCCTGTCTTCCTCACTGACTGGCTGTATAACCTTATGAGAGTTACTAAACTTTCTGAGCCTTTGTTTCCTCATCTGCAGAATGGCTAGTTACTGCATAATAGAGTTAAGATTAAATGAGACTATAATATATTGCATTGCAGCTGGGTGTGATGGCTCACACCTGTAATCCTAGCACTTTGGGAGGCCGAGGCAGGTGGATGACTTCAGGTCAGGAGTCCGAGACCAGTCTGGCCAACATGGTTAAAACCTCGCCTCTACTAAAAATACAAAAATTAGCCGGGTATTGTGGCACAAGCCTGTAATCTCAGCTACTTGGGAGACTGAGGCAGGAGAATTGCTTGAACCAGGGAGGCAGAGGTTGCACTGAGCCGAGATTGCACCAGTGCACTCCAGCCTGGACGACAGAGGGAGACTCTGTCTCAAAACAAACAAAAAATATTGCATTGCACATAATTTAAACACTCAATAAAAGTAGTTGCAATTATTGTTTTCTTTTAAATTTTATTTGTTTTAAAATTAGCATGTTGGTCAAACTAGTTTTTTTTTTTTTTTTTTCTTTTTGGAGACGGAGTCTTGCTCTGTTGCCCAGGCTGGAGCGCAGTGGCACGATCTAGGCTCACTGCAAGCTCCGCCTCCCGGGTTGCTGGGACCACAGGTGCCCGCCACCACGCCGTGCTAATTTTTTTGTATTTTTTTTAGTAGAGATGGGGTTTCACCGTGTTAGACAGGATGGTCTCGATCTCCTGACCTCGTGATCCGCCCGCCTCGACCTCCCAAAGTGCTGGGATTACGGGCGTGAGCCACTGCGCCCGGCCGATCGAACTAGTTGCTGAAAGATGACTATGCCCTGTAATCCCACCCCCAAAACATCTGTTGTCAGCAGTTGAATGAATATCAGTCGTCTTTCTAATTTTCATCTCTGGCACCTTTGGTGCTGGTGGTACGTTGTTTTTTTTTTGTTTTGGTACAATCATGCCTCAGTTAACAACAGAATATTTCTAAGAAGTGCATCATTGAGTGATTTTTGTCGTTGTTCTAACATCTTAGGATGTACTTACACACACCTAGCCTGGGTGTAGCCGACTGCCCATCTAGGCTATGTGGTATAGCCTATTGCTCCTAGGATACAAACCTGTACCGCATGTTACTGTACTGAATGCTGTAGGAGATTGTAAAAGAGTGGTAAGTATGTATCTGCATATGTCTAAACATAGAGAAGGTACAGTAAAAATAAGGTATAAAAGATAAGGAAGTTGTTCTGGGTGAGTCAGTGAGTGAATGGTGAATGAAGGTAAAGGCCCAGGACGTTACTGCACACTACTGTAGATGTATAAACACTGTACATTTGGACTACACTAAATTTATTTTTTAAAGTTTTCTTGTTTTGATATTATTAACCTTAGATTACTGTAACTTTTTTTTTTTTTTTTGAGACGGAGTCTCTCTCTGTCGCCCAGGCTGGAGTGCGGTGGCTTGATCTTGGCTCACTGCAAGCTCCGCCTCCCGGGTTCACGTCATTCTTCTGCCTCAGCCTCTCGAGTAGCTGGGACTACAGGTGCCCGCCACCACACCTGGCTAATTTTTTGTATTTTTAGTAGAGACGGGGTTTCACCGTATTAGCCAGGATGGTCTTGATCTGCTGACCTTGTGATCCACCCGCCTGGGCCTCTCAAAATGCTGGGATTACAGGCATGAGCCACCAGTCCCTGGCCAGATTACTGTAACTTTTTTACTTTAAAAACTTTAAAAATTTGTAACCTTTTGACTCTTGTAATAACACTTAGCTTAAACCACAAATACATTGTGCAGCTGTTCAAAAATATTTTCTGTCATTGTGTTATTCTATAAACTTTTTTATGATTATTATTAATTACTCTTAGAGATAAGGTCTTACTCTGTTCCAGGCTGGAGTGCAGTGGCACAGTCATAGCTCCCTGTAACCTCAAACTCCTGGGCTCAAGCAACCCTCACTTAAGCCTCCTGAGTAGCTAGGACTACAGGTGCATACCACCGTGCTTGGCTACGTTTTTTTAGTTTTTATAGAGCTGGAGTCATGCTATGTTGCCCAGGCTGGTCTCAAACTCCTGGCATCAAGCAATCCTTTCTCCTCTGCCTCCCAAAAGTTCTGGAATTGTAGGTGTGAGCCACCAGGCCTAGCCACTTTATAAGCTTTTTTTTCTATTTATTATCATTATTTGAGACAGAGTCTTGCTGTGTCGCCCAGGTTGGAGTGGAATGGTGCGGTCTCAGCTCACTGCAGCCTCCATGTCGCGAGTTCAAGCGATTCTCCTGCCTTAGCCTCCCAAGTAGTTGGTACTACAGGCACACGCCATTACACCTGGCTAATTTTTGTGTTTTTTTTAGTAGAGACGGGGTTTCACCGTGTTGGCCAGGCTGGTCTGGAATTCCAGACCCCATGTGATCCACCCACCTTGGCCTTCCAAAGTACTGGGATTACAGACGTGAGCCACCTCACCGAGCCATATTTAAATATTTTTTATTTTTTATTTTTTCACTTTTTAAACACTTTTGTTAAAAACTAAGACACAAACACATGCATTAGCCTAAACCTACACAGGGTCAGAATAATCAATATCACTGTCTTCCAGCTTCACATCTTGGCCCACTGGAAGGTCTTTAGGGTCAGTAACACACATGGAGCTATCATCTCCTATGATAACAGTGTCTTTTGTTTGTTTGCTTTGGTTTTTTTTTTTGAGACAGTCTCTCTCTGTCGCCCAGACTGGAGTGCAGTGGCATGATCTCGGCTCACTGCAACCTCCACCTCCCAGGTTCAAGCGATTCTCTGCCTCAGCCTCCTGAGTAGCTAGGACTTATAGGCACATGCTCCCACACCCAGCTTTAGTTAACTATTTTTATAAGTAGAATACATAGTATACATAACATAGAATTCTACATAGGATATGTAAACCAGTAACATAGTTTATTTTCAAGTATTATGTACTGTACATAGTTGTATGTGCTATGCTTTTATACCACTGGCAGTATATTAGGTTTACACTTGCATGACCATAAACAAGGAGGTAATATGTTGCATTATGACAGCTACAGCATCACCAGGCAATAGGAGTTTTTCAGCTCCATTGTACTCTGATGGGACCACCATTGTGTACGTGGTCATTGTTGACAGAAATGTGTTATGTAGCACGTGACTATTTTTATTGCTGTTGCTTCAACTTTAAGGTGTTTGGGAGGCAGGGAAGGGAAAGCTGTGTGGTACACCTGGAAGACAAGTCTGCATGTGCTGTACTAATAATTGGGAGCCAGTGAAGGTTTTAAAATAGGGGGTGAATTAATCAGATCTTTTTCAGTAAGATGCTGAAATGCAAGCTGGATTGGAGGGAAGTCTAGTAGCAGAGCAACAAGTGTTTGCTTGGCTGCTGTTTGAGGACCTTGTAGATGTGAGACATGTTTGTTACATGCCTTCAACAATACATGGCTCAGCTGGGGAGATAAGGCATTCATACCAAGTGGGGAAATAAGGACACAGCCACCAGGTAATGGTGTATGGACAAGAAGTGCTGTAGCTGTTTGGGGAAGGCAAGATCACCAAGCTGAGCCGTTTTCCTGAAGCCTTCAGTGAGGAAGCCAAATGGCCTTGAGGAATGACTCAGATTTGGAAAGTGTTTTGGGGAGAGGCCAAGCACAAATCAAGAGGTCGGAGCGCATGGTCTGTGTGGAGTGGTGGGTTTGGCCAATAGTGAGCAGTATGGTTGGAAAGGAAAATTGCCGTGGCCTTCAACAAACCTGTTGTTACGCACCCTATCTTCTGACCCTCTCTCTTCACTGTACTGTACCTGCGTTACTCTCTTGCAGTTTGAGGCTTTTCAGGATAGAACAGTGTCCTAGTTATTTTCCCAGGTCTAGTAAACAGCCCAGCACATAGTAGATGCTTAAAAACAACAATAAAAGAATGATTGGATATTTGCTGTTTATGGAAGTTACAGACTGGATATCCTGCCGTTCCCTTAAACTTAGATCTCAAATAAAATCCTAATATCACCTCTCTCCTTCCCTTTTTTATTCTGTGCTAAGTTTAAACAGGTTAGGTGCCCCTCTGCTCCCACAGCTGTGTGCTTACCTTGCCATTCCATAATTATGGACATCTCTGCTGTGATCATACTGCATGACTCTCACCAGCACGTTGGATGTCCAACATGTCACATTTGCTTGGGACCCCCCCACTGCCTTTCCTCCTTCCTACTTCTTCACTCTCCTTTTCTGGCTTCTTTTCCTCTTCTCCACCTTCTAAATGATAGAGTGATTGCAGGGATCAGTCACTCCAAGTTAGCCTCTAGACCAGTGGTTTTAAATCTTTTTGTTCAGCCATACCAAATGCCGGACAAGTACAAACACACTACACCGTCTTGTGCACACAGACACAACAGAAACAAAAGTTTCACAAAACGGTTCTTATACTTCATGAGCCGTGGACTCTGTTATTTTCCATTCTGCTCTATTTCATTTTTTTTTTAAGTGCTGTTCATGACCCACTAAATTGATTTCACAGCCTGCAGTTTGAAAAACTGCTCTGGGTGATCTCATCTACTCTGTTGGCTTTAAATACTACCTCTGTGCTAATGACCTTCCCATTTTTATCTCTACTCCACCTTTCCTTGGAGATCCTGTCGCATTGGCTGTCTCCCTGCTGTTTCCATGTGGATGTGCAATGGGAATCGCGTGTTGCCATGTTTGGCAAAGCACTCTTGATTCCCTTTACCAGCCTCGTTCCTCTTCACAAATGGTGCAGTGTTTGCAGTTGTTCTGTAAGGGATGGTGAATGGAGTACAAGCTCCCCAGTCACTGCCTAAGCTCAGATCTGAGGCCTTGGGCAGCTACACAACCTCTCTCTACCATGTTGTCTTCATTTGAATAAAGTGGGGTTGTCACTTGTACCTCTGGGGATTATTGTGACAGTTGAATGAATTTTCACCTGAAAAGACATGGAGCAGTGGCTGGCACATGGCTTGTGTTTAACTAGTGTTGGCTGCTGCTGTTTATCATTGTTGTTATGACTCTCATGTCCACTTCTGATCCGTTAGCAATTTCTGTTGGCTCTGACTTCAGACTGTGTCCGTTTTGACTGTGTGTCACTACCTCCATCAACACCACATTCACCCATGCAGCCAACGTCCCTTAACCAGACTACCAACTAACTAATTCCCTGCTCTGTCCTTGCCCCTCCCCTGGTCTGTTTTCCACAAAACAGCCAGAGGAGCCATTTAAGAACTGAAACCAGATCATGCCACTCTATAGTTTAAAACCCTCCAAAGGCTTCTAATAAAATCTGAACTTCCCCATGTGGCTCTTACTTTTTATAAGACCTTTCACTGGTACTTCACAAACAGTAACATATGTGTGACTTGCTAGTGACCTTGTTAACATGCAGAATCTGATCCTGTAGGTCTGTGGGGCCTGAGACACTACATCTCTAATAAGCTTGACCAGGTGAATGTGGTAAATATCAGCAGTAGTGGGATGGGTTGCCATCAGTCTTCTTCTTATGCAATGTCCTGGGAAGAATACAGCACCATGTGTCTGGTATTGCCGCTAAGGAAGCATGACCTGAGTCCGGTCACGAGGAAATACAGATCAGATTGAGGGTTATCCTGCAAAATGAAAAGACTTTACTCTGGCAGGGACATGGAAGTCAGGAAGAGAAAAGGGAACTATTCCAGATTGATTGACACTGGTGAGATGTAGCTCTGGGGTAGACTCCTGGACTAGAAAGGAAAGACATTGTTGGGACAGCTGACAAAATTCAAATGGGGTCTATGGATTGGATTGAGAGTGTAGTATCAGTGTTGATTTCCTGATGTGGAGGCTTGTATGCTGGTTATGGAGGAGAATGTCCTTGTTTTTGGAAATAACGCACTAGAGTATTGAGCAACAATGGAGCTTCATGCCTTCAGCCTGCTCTCAAAGGGGTCAGGAAAAGATAATGGAGCAAATGAGGTAAAGCATCAGTTGGAGAATCTCGTTGAAAGAGGGTATGTGAGCCCTTTGAACTATTTTTGCACTTTTCTGTACATTTGAAGTAATTTAAAATTACTATTTTTTTTTGAGAGAGGCTGTTGCTCTGTCTCCCAGGCTGGAGTGCAATGGAACGATCTTAGCTCACTGCAGCCTCCAGAGTTCAAGTGATTCTTGTGCCTCAGCCACTCGAGTAGCTAGGATTACGGGCATGTGCCACCATGCCCAGCTAATTTTTGTATTTTTAGTAGAGACGGGGTTTCACTGTAATGGCCAGGCTGGTCTTGAACTCCTGGCCTCGTGTGTTCTGCCTGCCTTGGCCTCTCAAAGTGCTGGGATTACAGGCGTGAGCCACCACGCCCAGTCTTAAAAATTATTTTTTAATATCCTATTGAGATTTTGACTGGAACCTATTAGAATTTTATAAACTAATATGTGGAGACTTAACGTCTTTACAATACTAGCCCTTTTTATCTAGCTATACCATTTGTTCTGCTAGTTTGTTTCTTTCCTTTTGTTTTGAGCTTTTTTGGGTTGTTCAGTGAAGTCTCTAATTTTCATATAGCTTTTGCCCACTTCTGCTTTGGATTGGTCATTGATATCTTTTGAATTTTAATTCAGAATTGTATTTGTTTGTTTTATTATTATTTCTTTTTAAGAGACAGAATCTCACTCTGTCACCCACGCTGGATGGAGTTCAGTGGCGTGATCTTGGCTCACTGCAACCTCCACCTCCTGTGTTCAAGCGATTCTCCTGCCACAGCCTCCTGAGTAGCTGGGATTATAGGTTTCCGCCACCGTATGTGGCCAGTTTTTGTATTTTTAGTAGAGACAGCATTTCACCATGTTGGCCAGGCTGGTCTTGAACTTCTGACCTCAGGTGTGATCTGCCTGCCTCAGCCTTCCGAAGTGCTGGGATTACAGGCTTGAGCCACCAGGCCCGGCCTCAAAATTATATTTGAATGAATTATAAAATGGAACATCCTTTTAGCCTATAAGTGGCAACACTAATTACCTCCCTTTTGCCTCTGAAGGTTTAGAAATTATGTATTAATACAACCTTTGAATGAAAAAATATATTCAATGACATCTCAGAAGCCCCTACGCTCAGCATTTAAGAAAATCCCACAGGAGCCTCTAGCTAGCCCCAGAGATGTCCTGCTCCCACCCTTCTCCTGCCCCCTTTTTGGGAACTGTTTGGCCATCCTGCTCACATATGTGGTCATCTGAAGTGATCTTGGGATGCCCCTGTGAAAATAAGACAGATAGCCATGGAGTGGGGGTGGGGCCAGGATAGGGCCCAGGTGCCTTTGGTCTGCTCAGGAGCAGATTTATAGCATCTCCTTGCAGAGTTACAGAAGCATGTGGTAGATATAGGATGCTTGCAGCCTCTTGGCTGTTTGAAATTATGCCTAATAATAGGCCTGCCGACTGTGGGTTGGAATTCAGCTGACTTTAGGCCTGATTCTCAAAAAATAATTTTGAGCTAGTGACCCTGTGTGCACACTTGCCTGGGCACTGTGGTGTCCAACAACCCTGTGTGTGGCATTGGCACCAGGTTTCCTGAAGTAGAGGTCCTGTCTGGCAGGCTCCTCCCTTCCCTCCTGCTTCTGACTTGTGGGGTCCCCTGTGCCTCTATTTCTTTCCCTTGGGCAGAGCAGCACTTTGCTGTCAGTAGGAACAGATAAAGCTCTGATACTGTTGAGATAGTTCAAGGGTTGTAATTTTTTTTTTTTTTTTTTTTTTGAGACGGAGTCTCGCTCTGTCGCCCAGGCCGGACTGCGGACTGCAGTGGCGCAATCTCGGCTCACTGCAAGCTCCGCCTCCCGGGTTCACGCCATTCTCCTGCCTCAGCCTCCCGAGTAGCTGGGACTACAGGCGCCCGCCACCGCGCCCGGCTAATTTTTTGTATTTTTAGTAGAGACGGGGTTTCACCTTGTTAGCCAGGATGGTCTCGATCTCCTGACCTCATGATCCACCCGCCTCGGCCTCCCAAAGTGCTGGGATTACAGGTGTGAGCCACCGCGCCCGGCCTAAGGGTTGTAATTTTTAAATGAGGTTAATGACATTTTGGCTGAGCACTGTGGCTCACCCTGTAATCGCAGCACTTTGGGAAGCCAAGACAGGTGGATCACTTGAGGTCAGGAGTTCAAGACCAGCCTGGCCAACATGGCGAAATGCTGTCTCTACTAAAAATACAAAAATTAGCCGGACGTGGTGGCAGGCACCTGTAATCTCAGCTACTTGGGAGGCTGAGGCAGGAGAATTGCTTGAACCTGGGAGGCAGAGGCTACAGTGAGCCAAGATTGCACCACTGCACTCCAGCAGTGCAGTGTAAGACTCTGTCTCAAAAAAAAAAAAAAAAAAGTGATTATTTCCTACACAAAAATTAATGTAAATAGAAATGAAAAGGGGAAAAAATACTTCCACAACACTGCCATCTTGGATAGTCCAGAAGTTTTCCTTTTTTCTCCATTATTCCCTTTGGCCTGGGACTAAATGAATGCCTCATTTTCAGATAGTTATAATCATAGCACAGGTATAAGTTTACGTGAGCTGCTCTTTTCATCTGATACTACGTAATTTTCTATGGTGCTAGAGTCTTTGCAATTGTTTAAAATGATTATGTACTATTTCTTTGAGTGGATATACCATAATTTGTTTAATCAATTTTCAAATAGGTTGTTGCCAGTTTTTTCTTCTAATACATATTACTGGAGTGAATATGTTGGTATTTTGTTTTTTTGTTTGGTTGACTGTTTTATTACCAGTTTTCTTTTCCAAGAGTCATAATCATTTATGGTGCTTTTTTTTTTTTTTTTTTTTTTTTTGTACCAGCTTTAGCCTAACCTAACCAGATGGGATATCATCTTTTAAATTTTTTAGGAAATTTTTTTTTTGAGACAGAGTCTCGCTTGTTGCCCAGGCTGGAGTGCAGTGGTGCGATCTCACTGCAATCTCTGCCTCCCAGGTTCACGCCATTCTCCTGCCTCAGCCTCCTGAGTAGCTGGGACTACAGGTGCCTACCACCACGCCCGACTAATTTTTTTGTATTTTTAGTAGAGACGGGGTTTCACTGTGTTAGCCAGGATGGTCTCAATCTCCTGACCTCGTTATCCGCCCACCTCGGCCTCCCAAAGTGCTGGTATTACAGGCGTGAGCCACTGCGCCTGGCCAGGAAATGTAATAGTTACAAATTTATCCCCCTAGTTTTTGCCTGCATGTATTTGGTCATGATTCAAGGTGGATATTTTTTATGGCTTACATGGCTAATATGAGTTTTGACACCCAGAAAGCAATCTTTTTAGATATGCAGCATTCTTGTGGGTTTCTTTCCTTCTAGACAAGGAACTGACTTGCGAATTCTGAGTTGCTTTCAGACTCTTCTGATCTCCCAAGTCAGGGAGGAAGCCAGCACCTTCATTACACTTCATTTTATTCTGAAGTCCTATTACACTAAGATAACTTTTAGCCACTGAGAAAAATATAGGCTCTGCCCATGTGCAAACAGGACATAGAGTATGAAATATTAAGTCACTGAGCAGATCTTTATGCTTGATACACTTAGGAAGATCCCACATTTGCACATACACAAAACAAACGATACAGGTGTTACAGATATATCTAGGTACAAGCAGTCAACTAAATTCTAGCAAGATTCCTCAAGATTCCTTTCTAAAATGCTTCCCAATGTCACAGATTGGGAAATACAGACTGGGTTTTGCAGTGGGCATATTATATATCTTATCTCATTGTTTACCATGAATATTTTGCTTGTTTAACTTCTGAGTCTCCATTTACAAAAAGGATTACTAACATTTCTTAGATCATGGTAAGGATGAAATGCATTAACATTTGTGTAAAGCACCTGATAGTGTGTCACATGTGTGAGGCATGGCAATAATTGATAGCTACAGTTATTAGAGATCTGACCCAAGTGTGTGTCAGGATTTTCAAAAATATGCATTTGGATCTTCCTTGCCTAATTTTGTGGTACAGTGAAAGAAAGGGTTATGGGCTCTAGAATCAGAAGAATTGGAGTTACAGAATGTCAGCTCCAACTTGTCCTAGAGGAGTGACTTTTGGAAAATTTGGACTTTTGGAAAAAATTACATTAATTTTTCCCCCTCATTCATTAATTGAGTTACAGGTAAAACCACACAGTGACTAACATATATAGATTGCTAAATAAATGGCAATTATTTATTTATTTACTGGGACAGGTCTTACTGTAGCACCCAGGCTGGAGTGTAGTAGCGTGCAGCCTCGGCTCACTGCAACCTCTGCCTCCCAGGCTCAAGTGATCCTCCTGCCTCAGCCTCTGGAGTGGCTGGGACTACAGGCACAAGCCAGCACACCCAGCTAATTCTTTTGTATTTTTTGTGGAGACGGGGTCTTGTTATGTTGCCCATGCTGGTCTCCTGAGCTCAAACAGTCTGCCTGCCTCGGCCTCCCAAAGTGCTGGGATTACAGGTGTGAGCCACTGTGGCCGGCCAGCAATTTTTATTATATCAGTGGTACATACCTTAGATACTGGTTAAAGGTAAATACTTTAATTGGTTTGTTTTTACTAAGCAAGGTAAAGCCAACACATTCTCTGCTTAGAGGAAGATTTGTAGAGAAAATCACATGGATAACACATTTTAGGAGCTCTTAAGATACAGCAGGACACATTCTAAGAGCTCTTAAGAACCATATGATCTCATGTGGCAAGAAGGAATTTATGGGCCTGGGGATGCTTAAAAGGCTCCAAGTTGAGACCAAGGTGAGAGTGGGCCGATGGCACAAAGGGGGCTGAGCAGGCTTGTTTGAGAGGGTGGGGAGAAGCAGAAATTGTGTTGGGAAGATGTCACAGGGCTTCAGGGCCTATGGGGGGGTGTGATGGTGTCAAAATGGCAGTTAAGCAAAAGAAAGTACTGGGAAAGAGAACTTTTCAGGTGTTATTCTAGCCCAAGAAAGATGAAAATGACAGTGACGAGAATGGAATGGGAAAGGACAAATACAGGAAGGAGAGTAGTGTCATGATGAGGTGGCATGGTAAATACAGAGTCAAAGTGAAAGGTCAGTTTGGGGTTATTCTAAAGCTTCTTGCTTGGGATGATCATGGTTTTCTTTGAGAATAGGCAGTTGGGTCAGTTGAGGAAGAACAACCTTATCTTTGTCATTGAAAATGAGTTAGTTACTGCCTAATAATAAATGCATTTGTTGTCTTTTAGAAATGATTACAGTCACAAGTGACACTGTCCAGAGTCCTTAAGTACTGATCTGTCTAGAGGGCCAGAGGCCTTGCTCTGTCTCTGCATGGTCATTAAAACCTTTGCCATATGGGGCCGGGCGCGGTGGCTCATGCCTGTAATCCCAGCACTTTGGGAGGCTGAGGCGGGCGGATCATGAGGTCAGGAGATCGAGACCATCCTGGCTAACACGGTGAAACCCTGTCTCTACTAAAAATACAAAAAATCAGCCAGGCACGGTGGTGGGCGCCTGTAGTCCCAGCTACTTGGGAGGCTGAGGCAGGAGAATGACGTGAACCCGGGAGGCGGAGCTTGCAGTGAGCCGAGATATCGCCACTGCACTCCAGCCTGGGCAACAGAACGAGACTCCGTCTCAAAAAAAAAAAAAAAAAAAAAAAAAAACCCTTTGCCATATGGTTAATAAGCCCTATAGACCCCACATCCTTGGCATTCAGAGCCCAGCACCTGCCTGCAACTCTCTTCATAGTATCTCATCCAATTTTGGACTTTGGGCATTTCTTACTTTCTTGCAACTTGGCTATACATTTTGTCTGACATTTCTAAGTGTTTTGTTGAGGGAGGATTTTTAGTCCCTGTTCTATGTCATAGTGCATGAAATAGAAGTCTCTCATTCCCCAAGTGGCAATAGTCTACTCTGAAATCCTAGGAATGAGAAGAACTCTTATCAGTCAGGGTCCCAGTAGAAAACAGATGGCACATTCAAACTGGGTAATTTAAGGAGTGTTTAATTGTATCATTCAGGGTTCATTCAGGAAAAGAGAAGTTGTCTATTCCGGTATGAATGGTTTTGATACAGGAATTAAGGCTTTACCCAACCCTGGAAGAACTGGAATTGGGAAGGTTCCTGATGATTTCATACTGAAGTGTCATAGTGAATGGTTCTCGTGAGCTCATGGGGAAGCCGCTATGAATCCACGTGTGCTGCATCTACCTCCAGGGAATATCATCAACCTCTACGTTTATTTTGCCTTCTAAATCTCTCTTGCACTTCTCATTGCAAACTCTAACCCAGAACCATGCTGCTAAAGGGTTCTGGAACGGAAGTTCTCAGCTTCTGATCTGCAGAGGAGAGCTTGGAAGGAGGGTGGTCACGATGCTGAGTTGACAACAATGCAGAAGATTAATAAAGGGACTGGAAAGGGTGAGCAGGGTTTGGGGAAGCCAACAGGAAAGTGAAGTCTTCTGTGCTAGCAGTAGCAGGGAGTTGTTACCTACTGCCTTCTAGACCTGAAGGGCAGAGGATGAAGTGGTTCCTGGAGTTTGGAGAAAGTGGCTATATGTTGAGGTTGCCCGATGGAGCTGCAGCCATTGGTGGAGGGTCTCAGCCAGCCTCAGTAACCTCGGGGTGGGAGCCAGGAGAGTAAGTTCCTCTCACTTTCCTCCTCTCCTGCCTCTTACCAGCCAAACTGGGTCAGAAGGCAAGGGTGGTGGGGCCTGTCAGTTGTCCTTCCATTGTCCGTTCTAGGGCATAGAGTAGGGTGGAGATGGGTGAGGAGAGGCTGTGGGGGCAAACAGGGAATATCCCTTACACAGGCTATAACTAGATGCATCATTGTCAATGTCTTGAGGATTTAAAGGCAAAGAAGGAGAATAAGCAGAAAATCATGACAGAGGATGAAAAAATTAGCTGGGGCCAGGCACAATGGCTGAATTCTAGCACTTTGGGAGGTTGAAACAGCAGGATGGCTTGAGCCCAGGAGTTTGAGACCAGCCTGGACAGCACAGTGAGACTCTGTCTCTATTTTTAAGAAATTATAAAAATTAGCCATAGTCCCAATTATTTTTTAAAAATTAGCCAGGGGTCCCATGCCTGTGGTCCCAGCTACTTGGGAGGCTGAGGCAGGAGGATTGCCTGAGCTGGGAGTTGAGGCCGCAGTGAGCCTGTGGTCATGCCACTGCACTCCAGCCTGGGCAACAGAGTGAGACTCTCTTTCCAAAAAAGAGAATGGATTGGGAAGTGGGATGTTGTTGGACATATGGAGGAAGAAGGACAGAGAAAGCCAATGTTGGTTTTCTATAAGAGGGCAAGGTCATCAGCCCTCTAATAGGATGGGGAGAACAAGTCTGCAGCTGGTTATGAGTGAGTTTGTGAGGTCGGCACATGGACTCTGGAATGTTTAGGCACAGAGTTCTGGACCTCACTAATACACCTCCACAGCCCTTCTGAAACTGTTCAGAAAGTTAGGAATATAGGAGAAAAACAGGAAAGGGAGAGTCATTATGGATGGGAAGTACATCGGTAGGCCTCTTTTTTATTTATTTATTGAGACGGAATCTCGCTTTGTTGCCCAGGCTGGAGGGCAGTGGCGCGATCTCTGCTCACTGCAACCTCTGCCTCCGAGGCTCAGGCGATCCTCCTGCCTCAGCCCCCCGAGGTGCTGGGACTACAGGCACGCATCACCATGCCTGGCTAATTTTTGTATTTTTTATAAAGATAGGGTTTCGCCATGTTGCCCAGGCTGGTCTCGAACTCCTGAGCCCAAGTGATCTGCCCGCCTTGACCTCCCAAAGTTCAGGGATTACAGGGGTGAGCCACTGTGCCCAGCCTCTTTTTTAGAGTGTGTATGCAAGTTCCTTAGGTGACTTATTCCTTTGAGGTATCAGATTTTCCTTACTATTTGTATTCATTTAAACAAAGGAATTCAGGCACTTATTATTACTAATCACAGTGCTTTAAAACTGACTACACTGATGCTTTTTTTAAGATGATGGGATAAAATTGGAATTATCTCTATTAGCTTTTTTTTTTTTTTTTTTTTTTTTTTTTTTTTTTTTTTTTTTTTTTTTTTTTTTTGAGACAGGGTTACTGTCACCCAGGGTGGAGCACATTGGCACATTCATAGCTCGTTGCAGCCTCGAACTCCTGAGTTCAAGCAATCGTCCTACCTCAGCCTCTTGAGCAGCTGGGACTGTAGGCACACCTCATGACACTGTGCATTTAAAATTTTTTTTAACCCAGGCTGGTCTTGAACTCCTGACCTCAAGCGATCCTCACACCTCAGCCTCCCAAAACACTGGGATTACAGGTGTGAGCCACCACACCCAGCCTATTACTTATTTTATAGCTCCAGGTTTACATTTTCTGTCGTTGGTATATGCTACTTGGTTTTCTTAATTGGTTTACTTGGCATTCCTAAAAAAGATAAACCTGGGCAACCACCTTCTCCTACTCAGGTGCTTCATGTATACTAAGAATATTTAGCATGACTGGAACCCTGCAGGAGGTATTTGGCCTTGGATTTTTTTTTTTTCTTTTTCATAAAGTAGAACCATAACAATAGGGAAAGGGGTATCATACAGGACAGGGAATCTGCAGGGGAAGGCTGAGAACAGACCTAAGAAGGAGTCCTTCCTGTATCTGTTTTCCCTGTCTGGAGATAGGGCAGCCTCAGGCCTGATACCCTGATGTTTAAAGTGGCCTTTAGCTCTTGGTGGCTCCTATTTAGGAAGAATATGGAGCAAGTGGCAACATTGTTTATACACTCAGATCTTCAGAAGCCTGATTTTATTTCCAGAAGGATTAATTAAACAACATGTAACATAGCTTTTTATAGAGAATATCTCTTGAGAAGGCTTTTCATTAGTTTAAACTGCTAGCTTTAATGTTTTTGTTCAATTTAGCCCCCATTCAGCCTTGTTTTATCTAGAGAAGGCCACTGGCACTGAGGAGTAGAGCAGGAGCACATCACAAGGGGAAAAAATTAATACTCATGTAGACAGAATTGCTCTTGATAGTTCTAAGAATGATGGGGAGGGGGTGAAGAGCCAGCTGGAACAGTATGGAGGTCCTTATAAGAGGGTGGCAGTGAAGGGACAGATTTATTGTGGGTGGCTACCCACTTTCAAGGCCAAACTGACAGGACAACTGGTATTTTTTACTGACCATGTGGAAGACCCTCTGGGCAATGTAATGTTAAAAACATGTCCTGCCCCCAGCCCTGCTGCCTAGGAGCTTTGTGAACTCTGCTTCTGTTTCCTCATCTGTAAAAGGAGCGTGCTAGTGTTGTGAGGATTAAATGAGTTAGTGTATGTGAAGTGCTGGAACAGTGTCAAGCAGCATCATCACCATTTGAATAGCTATTACCTACTGCCCTGCAGATTCACTGGAACAAAGCAACAGAGGCATTTTGAATAGGATGAGAAGTTTCCTTTAGATTCTGACATTATTTGCACATGAATGTTTAGCGATTGTTTTGGGTCACATGACTATATAATCAAGCTTAAGGAAGTAGACCCTTGTCTAGCTGTTTTAGACTTACGATATTTCAAGATATGGGTCAAGCTTTTAGAATTTGGGGTTACTGGCCATCTTCTGCTCTAATCAATATTTACTTTCTGAAGTCTTTCCTCAGTTCTCATGTGGACTCAAGCTGGGTCTTTCCCTTAGAACCGGACTCATGGGATTTTACAGGCAAGGTCTTCAGCATCCTCCAGCTCTGCTTTTAGGTTGATCATATTCTATTTTCACTTTCTATAATTCTCTCATGTCACTCCCACAGCACCATCTCTGAATATGTGAGTTCTAGCCTAGTTCTCTAAGGCCTAGTTCTTACACCATTTAATCATTCACACAGACTCCGGTGTGATGACGTGAGGATTACAGCAAGGAACAGTCAGTTTCTGCCCTTTAAGGAGTTTACATTTTAGTCAGAGGAGAGACAGACAGTAAAAAAGTAGCATATATGTGTCTGTTTGGAGTAAGTATGGGGCCAGGCAGGGGATAAAACAGGGGAGGGAGTTACAGCCAGGGAAAAGGTGTGGAGCTGGCTGTTTTTACTAGAATGACCAGGGAATGAGTGACACTTGCCCAAAGACTGGAAGGAGAGCAAGCTATCTGGCTCTGGGAGAAGAACGTGCAGGTGAGAACAGAGTTCCTATGTAGATATGTGGTAGGCCTGTTCCAGGAACAAGGCAACTGTGGGGCTAGAGCAGAGAGTGATAGGGGAGGAGCTCAGAGAGGTCAAGGGGGTGGGAGCAGGGGCCTTTGAGACCAGTTTCCCAAAGAATGAGGTGGGAGCCACTCCAGGGATTGGAGAGGATAAATCTGACTTACCTTTAAAAAGGTTGTTGACTTTCCTGCAGGCAACTCCATTTTCAGCTCCCCTTCAGGGGAACTAGGAAACTAGCTTCATAAACCATTGTAACTAAACTAAACTGTCTATTACACCTCACTTTACCCTATATGTATTTTGGAACTTGTTTTTTTAAGTAATTGGTTCTAAAGTCACTTGGAGCAATTTGGCCTTGTCCCTTTCATCTCTGACTCTGAGGAGACAGGCCCAGGTGAAAGGGGAAAAAATCAGCTTGATTGATTAAGAGGGATTATAATAGGTAATACAAAGTGGTGGCTCAGTCAGATAACTTTGAAAGAGTCTGGGTCCTAGGCTTGATGAATTCCTATTTTCCTCTCTGTTTTTTGCTGTCCTCCAAGATGATTGCTTCTAATTCTTTCATAGTAATGGCCAGTAATAACTGTGAATTTAAAAAACTGGCAAATACAAATACCACATGGCGGGTAAAGGTGCTGGAACTTCTTGGAAACCTCCCAAAATAATCTGGAAGAATAGTCACTGCTATTCACTGGCTTAAGTCTAGCCCTTTGTACCTGGGAATTGAAGGAGAGTGGTGGAGAGAGGGGTGCTGTAGACACAGTCATATGCCAAGAAGAGGTTGACTCCAAAGTTTGTGTGGAACCCATATGGGCTGAGTGTCCTGGAGTCACCAGTCATCACAGGTAGTTGGCAATTATAGTAAAGCTGCAAAAATTTGCACTTGGACATAAGGAATTGGCTGCAGTTCTCTGGCCAGGTCTGTTTCTCAGTGTTGGGGAGTGGCGATCAGCAGCCAGTGTTAAAACCCGCAGTTCAGTGATCACCCTAATACATGAAAGCAGAGAAATGAAAGTAGTGGCTTATGCCTGTAGTCCCAAAACTTTGAGAGGCCGAGGCAGGAGGATCATTTGAAGCCAGGTGTTTGATGCTGCAGTGAACTACGACTGTGCCCCTGCACACTCCAGCCTGGGCAAGAGTGAGACCTTGTCTCAAAAAAAAAAAAAAAAAAAAAAAAAAAAAAAAAAAAGGATTTGGTTTTTCTTACCCCACACCCCCTCCCCCGCATAACTGGGAGGCTTATTGAAAAATTGCTGTTTTTCATTGACAGTAATAACACAGCCCCATATTTTAATCTGGTTGAGTTTGGGGGCTCATTTGTCTAATAAGGCATTATTAGATATATGAGACATACATGTTTTTGCTGTATTGGGTTTGTATGCACTCAGAGTGCTGCTTTTCATTCTACTACAGATTCTTGCCTCACTCTTTAGGCCATTTCTCTGCATATGTGCATTTTCAGAAGTGGATAGGATAAAATATAAAAGATGAAATTCAAGGTCAGGCGTGGTGGCTCATGCCTGTAATTCCAGCACTTTGGGAGGCCGAGGTGGGCGGATCACGAGGTCAGGAGTTCGAGACCAGCCTGGCCAGCACAGTGAAACCCTGTCTCTACTAAAAATACAAAAAATTAGCCGAGCCTGGTGGCCATGCGCCTGTAGTCCCAGCTACTCGGGAGGCTGAGGCAAGAGAATTGCTTGAACCCTGCAGGCAGAAGTTGCATTGAGCTGAGATCGTGCAATTGCACTCCAGCCTGGGTGACAGAGTGAGACTCTTGTCTCAAAAAACCAAAAAAAAAAAATAGAAATTCAAACCAGTCAGCTTCATCTGGGCCTCTGATTCATCTTTATTCCCTCCATCATCTAGACTTGATTTTATTTGTACCAAGGAGATGCGTGTCTAATGTTTTTCTTTCTTCTATTTCTAGGAGGGCTGTTGGCCTGCTGCTGTGCTGCTGAACAGTATGCAGTCCTTTCGGGAGCAAAGCAGTTACCACGGAAACCAGCAAAGCTACCCACAGGAGGTACACGGCTCATCCCGGCTAGAAGAGTTCAGCCCTCGTCAGGCCCAGATGTTCCAGAATTTTGGAGGTACAGGTGGCAGTAGTGGCAGCAGTGGCAGTGGCAGTGGTGGTGGACGACGAGGAGCAGCAGCTGCTGCGGCAGCGATGGCTAGCGAGACCTCTGGCCATCAAGGTTACCAGGGTTTCAGGAAAGAGGCTGGAGATTTTTACTACATGGCAGGCAACAAAGACCCCGTGACTACAGGAACCCCACAGCCTCCTCAGCGAAGGCCTTCTGGGCCTGTGCAGAGCTATGGACCCCCCCAGGGGAGCAGCTTTGGCAATCAGTATGGGAGTGAGGGTCATGTGGGCCAGTTTCAAGCACAGCACTCTGGCCTTGGCGGTGTGTCACATTATCAGCAGGATTACACTGGGCCTTTCTCTCCAGGGAGTGCTCAGTACCAACAGCAGGCTTCCAGCCAGCAGCAGCAGCAGCAAGTCCAGCAGTTGAGACAACAGCTTTACCAGTCCCATCAGCCCCTGCCACAGGCCACTGGCCAACCAGCATCCAGCTCATCCCATCTACAGCCAATGCAGCGGCCCTCAACTCTGCCATCCTCTGCTGCTGGTTACCAGTTAAGAGTGGGTCAGTTTGGCCAACACTATCAGTCTTCTGCTTCCTCCTCCTCCTCCTCCTCCTTCCCTTCACCACAGCGTTTTAGCCAGTCTGGACAGAGCTATGATGGCAGTTACAATGTGAATGCTGGATCTCAGTATGAAGGACACAATGTGGGTTCTAATGCACAGGCTTATGGAACACAATCCAATTACAGCTATCAGCCTCAATCTATGAAGAATTTTGAACAGGCAAAGATTCCACAAGGGACCCAACAGGGGCAGCAGCAGCAGCAACCGCAGCAACAACAACACCCTTCTCAGCATGTGATGCAGTATACTAACGCTGCCACCAAGCTGCCCCTGCAAAGCCAAGTGGGGCAGTACAACCAGCCTGAGGTTCCTGTGAGGTCCCCCATGCAGTTTCACCAGAACTTCAGCCCCATTTCTAACCCTTCTCCAGCTGCCTCTGTGGTTCAGTCTCCAAGCTGTAGTTCTACCCCATCTCCTCTCATGCAGACTGGGGAGAATCTCCAGTGTGGGCAAGGCAGTGTGCCTATGGGTTCCAGAAACAGAATTTTACAGTTAATGCCTCAACTCAGTCCAACCCCATCAATGATGCCCAGTCCTAATTCTCATGCTGCAGGCTTCAAAGGGTTTGGACTAGAAGGGGTACCAGAAAAGCGACTGACAGATCCTGGGTTGAGTAGTTTGAGTGCTCTGAGTACTCAAGTGGCCAATCTTCCTAACACTGTCCAGCACATGTTACTTTCTGATGCCCTGACTCCTCAGAAGAAGACCTCCAAGAGGCCCTCATCTTCCAAGAAAGCAGATAGCTGCACAAATTCTGAAGGCTCCTCACAACCTGAAGAACAGCTGAAGTCCCCTATGGCAGAGTCATTAGATGGAGGCTGCTCCAGCAGTTCAGAGGATCAAGGCGAGAGAGTGCGGCAACTAAGTGGCCAGAGCACCAGCTCTGACACCACCTACAAGGGTGGAGCCTCTGAGAAAGCTGGCTCCTCACCGGCACAAGGTGCTCAGAATGAACCCCCCAGACTCAATGCTAGTCCTGCCGCAAGAGAAGAGGCCACCTCACCAGGCGCTAAGGACATGCCATTGTCATCCGACGGGAACCCAAAGGTTAATGAGAAGACTGTTGGGGTGATTGTCTCCCGGGAAGCCATGACAGGTCGGGTAGAAAAGCCTGGTGGACAAGATAAAGGCTCCCAAGAGGATGATCCTGCAGCCACTCAAAGGCCACCTAGCAATGGTGGGGCAAAGGAAACCAGTCATGCATCACTTCCCCAGCCAGAGCCTCCAGGAGGAGGAGGGAGCAAAGGAAACAAGAATGGCGATAACAACTCCAACCATAATGGAGAAGGAAATGGCCAGAGTGGCCACTCTGCAGCGGGCCCTGGTTTTACGAGCAGAACTGAGCCTAGCAAATCTCCTGGAAGTCTGCGCTATAGTTACAAAGATAGTTTCGGGTCAGCCGTGCCACGAAATGTCAGTGGCTTTCCTCAGTATCCTACAGGGCAAGAAAAGGGAGATTTCACTGGCCATGGGGAACGAAAGGGTAGAAATGAAAAATTCCCAAGCCTCCTGCAGGAAGTGCTTCAGGGTTACCACCACCACCCTGACAGGAGATATTCTAGGAGTACTCAAGAGCATCAGGGGATGGCTGGTAGCCTAGAAGGAACCACAAGGCCCAATGTCTTGGTTAGTCAAACCAATGAATTAGCTAGCAGGGGCCTTCTGAACAAAAGCATTGGGTCTCTATTAGAAAATCCCCACTGGGGCCCCTGGGAAAGGAAATCAAGCAGCACAGCTCCTGAAATGAAACAGATCAATTTGACTGACTATCCAATTCCCAGAAAGTTTGAAATAGAGCCTCAGTCATCAGCACATGAGCCTGGGGGTTCCCTCTCTGAAAGAAGATCAGTGATCTGTGATATTTCTCCACTAAGACAGATTGTCAGGGACCCAGGGGCTCACTCACTGGGACACATGAGTGCCGACACCAGAATTGGGAGGAATGACCGTCTCAATCCAACTTTAAGTCAGTCGGTCATTCTTCCTGGTGGTTTGGTGTCCATGGAAACCAAGCTGAAATCCCAGAGCGGGCAGATAAAAGAGGAAGACTTTGAACAGTCTAAATCTCAAGCTAGTTTCAACAACAAGAAATCTGGAGACCACTGCCATCCTCCTAGCATCAAGCATGAGTCTTACCGCGGCAATGCCAGCCCTGGAGCAGCAACCCATGATTCCCTTTCAGACTATGGCCCGCAAGACAGCAGACCCACGCCAATGCGGCGGGTCCCTGGCAGAGTTGGTGGTCGGGAGGGCATGAGGGGTCGGTCCCCTTCTCAATATCATGACTTTGCAGAAAAATTGAAAATGTCTCCTGGGCGGAGCAGAGGCCCAGGGGGAGACCCTCATCACATGAATCCACACATGACCTTTTCAGAGAGGGCTAACCGGAGTTCTTTACACACTCCCTTTTCTCCCAACTCAGAAACCCTGGCCTCTGCTTATCATGCAAATACTCGGGCTCATGCTTATGGGGACCCTAACGCAGGTTTGAATTCTCAGCTGCATTATAAGAGACAGATGTACCAACAGCAACCAGAGGAGTATAAAGACTGGAGCAGCGGTTCTGCTCAGGGAGTAATTGCTGCAGCACAGCACAGGCAGGAGGGGCCACGGAAGAGTCCAAGGCAGCAGCAGTTTCTTGACAGAGTACGGAGCCCTCTGAAAAATGACAAAGATGGTATGATGTATGGCCCACCAGTGGGGACTTACCATGACCCCAGTGCCCAGGAGGCTGGGCGCTGCCTAATGTCTAGTGATGGTCTGCCTAACAAGGGCATGGAATTAAAGCATGGCTCCCAGAAGTTACAAGAATCCTGTTGGGATCTTTCTCGGCAAACTTCTCCAGCCAAAAGCAGCGGTCCTCCAGGAATGTCCAGTCAAAAAAGGTATGGGCCGCCCCATGAGACTGATGGACATGGACTAGCTGAGGCTACACAGTCATCCAAACCTGGTAGTGTTATGCTGAGACTTCCAGGCCAGGAGGATCATTCTTCTCAAAACCCCTTAATCATGAGGAGGCGTGTTCGTTCTTTTATCTCTCCCATTCCCAGTAAGAGACAGTCACAAGATGTAAAGAACAGTAGCACTGAAGATAAAGGTCGCCTCCTTCACTCATCAAAAGAAGGCGCTGATAAAGCATTCAATTCCTATGCCCATCTTTCTCACAGTCAGGATATCAAGTCTATCCCTAAGAGAGATTCCTCCAAGGACCTTCCAAGTCCAGATAGTAGAAACTGCCCTGCTGTTACCCTCACAAGCCCTGCTAAGACCAAAATACTGCCCCCACGGAAAGGACGGGGATTGAAATTGGAAGCTATAGTTCAGAAGATTACATCCCCAAATATTAGGAGGAGCGCATCTTCGAACAGTGCGGAGGCTGGGGGAGACACGGTTACGCTTGATGATATACTGTCTTTGAAGAGTGGTCCTCCTGAAGGTGGGAGTGTTGCTGTTCAGGATGCTGACATAGAGAAGAGAAAAGGTGAGGTGGCTTCGGACCTAGTCAGTCCAGCAAACCAGGAGTTGCACGTAGAGAAACCTCTTCCAAGGTCTTCAGAAGAGTGGCGTGGCAGCGTGGATGACAAAGTGAAGACAGAGACACATGCAGAAACAGTTACTGCCGGAAAGGAACCCCCTGGTGCCATGACATCCACAACCTCACAGAAGCCTGGTAGTAACCAAGGGAGACCAGATGGTTCCCTGGGTGGAACAGCACCTTTAATCTTTCCAGACTCAAAGAATGTACCTCCAGTGGGCATATTGGCCCCTGAGGCAAACCCCAAGGCTGAAGAGAAGGAGAACGATACAGTGACGATTTCACCGAAGCAAGAGGGTTTCCCTCCAAAGGGATATTTCCCATCAGGAAAGAAGAAGGGGAGACCCATTGGTAGTGTGAATAAGCAAAAGAAACAGCAGCAGCCACCGCCTCCACCCCCTCAGCCCCCACAGATACCAGAAGGTTCTGCAGATGGAGAGCCAAAGCCAAAAAAACAGAGGCAAAGGAGGGAGAGAAGGAAGCCTGGGGCCCAGCCGAGGAAGCGAAAAACCAAACAAGCAGTTCCCATTGTGGAACCCCAAGAACCTGAGATCAAACTAAAATATGCCACCCAGCCACTGGATAAAACTGATGCCAAGAACAAGTCTTTTTACCCTTACATCCATGTAGTAAATAAGTGTGAACTTGGAGCCGTTTGTACAATCATCAATGCTGAGGAAGAAGAACAGACCAAATTAGTGAGGGGCAGGAAGGGTCAGAGGTCACTGACCCCTCCACCTAGCAGCACTGAAAGCAAGGCGCTCCCGGCCTCGTCCTTTATGCTGCAGGGACCTGTTGTGACAGAGTCTTCGGTTATGGGGCACCTGGTTTGCTGTCTGTGTGGCAAGTGGGCCAGTTACCGGAACATGGGTGACCTCTTTGGACCTTTTTATCCCCAAGATTATGCAGCCACTCTCCCGAAGAATCCACCTCCTAAGAGGGCCACAGAAATGCAGAGCAAAGTTAAGGTACGGCACAAAAGTGCTTCTAATGGCTCCAAGACGGACACTGAGGAGGAGGAAGAGCAGCAGCAGCAGCAGAAGGAGCAGAGAAGCCTGGCCGCACACCCCAGGTTTAAGCGGCGCCACCGCTCGGAAGACTGTGGTGGAGGCCCTCGGTCCCTGTCCAGGGGGCTCCCTTGTAAAAAAGCAGCCACTGAGGGCAGCAGTGAAAAGACTGTTTTGGACTCGAAGCCCTCCGTGCCCACCACTTCAGAAGGTGGCCCTGAGCTGGAGTTACAAATCCCTGAACTACCTCTTGACAGCAATGAATTTTGGGTCCATGAGGGTTGTATTCTCTGGGCCAATGGAATCTACCTGGTTTGTGGCAGGCTCTATGGCCTGCAGGAAGCGCTGGAAATAGCCAGAGAGATGGTGAGTATGAGAAATCTCTTACCAGCTTGGGATTTTTATTTCATTTGGTTCCTTTTCTTGCATGTTTTTGTTCTTACATGTCACATGATTATTCCTCCAAATTAAAGTGCCTATGCCCATGTGATGGACAGAAAATGAAATAGGTAATTTGGAAGATTTGTATAGACTTCTAAAATCGTTTTTCATTTTTTGAAATGTATAATGCTTATGAAGCATATTATTATATTTCAAGTTTCTTGGGCCACATCTTTTCTAACGCACACTTTCCAGTTAGGATATTTATTCTTTGGATCTGTTTCATAACTTATCCTGGGGCAGATCATCAACATCATCATCTTCATTTCTTTCTCTCCTCTATTGAATGTTCTGTTTCCTGAATCCCATTTCTTCCTCATTCTTAAAGTGAGCCTTCATTTAAGGGCGTGCATCATCCTTTAGTAGTTTTGTGAGAAAGGGTGTGTGGGAGTGTAAAAATGTTGAGATCCTATATATCTGAGCATGACTTTATCCTAGCCTCATGCTTAATTGAGAGTTGGCTAGGTGTGGAATTCTAGATTGGAAGTGATTTTTCTCTCACTGTCTTGCAGTCGTTCTTCCTGGTTTGTCCACTAGCTTCCAGTGCTGCAGTTGAGAAGACTGCCATTCTAATTTTTCATCCCTTGATGCATGTTCTGTTTTTCTTCTGGAAAGTTTGAGGATCTTCTCCTTTTCCCTAGGGTCTTGAGATGTCAAAATGATAGGTCTTGACTAGGTCATTTCATGGTTGTGTTGGCTACTCTATGAGATCTTATGTACGCTGATGTCTTTCAGTTCAGGCAATTTGTCATGTGGTAGTTCTTTGAAAATTTCCTTCCCTCTATTTTCTCTGCTCTCTTTATAATTCCTGTTAATATAAGGCATTTTACCTCCTGGATTGATCCGCTGTTTTTATCTTTTCTCCTCTGTTTTATGTTTTATCTCATTATCTTTTTGTTCTGATTTCTCTATGCTTTCTTCAGCTTTATCATCTAATCTTTTTTGTATGTGGGTTTTGTTTTGGTTTTGTTTTGTTTTGTTTTGTTTTGTTGTCACTCAGGCTGGAATGCAGTGGTGCGATCACAGCTTACTGCATTCTCGAACTCTGGGGCTCCCTGGTACCTGGGACTAAAGGTGTGTGCCACCATGCCCAGCTAATATTTATATTTTTTGCAGAAACAAGGTCTCACTGTGTTGCCCAGAGTGGTCTCAAACTGCTGGACTCAAGCAATCCTTCCACTTCGGTCTTCTAAAGTACCAGGATTATAGGCATGTGCCACAAGCCACAGTGCCCAGCCTTCTAGCCTTTTATTTACTTATTTTTTTTCTTGATATTTTGAAGAGCTTTTTTTTTCTCTGAATGTACTGACTTTTAAAGAATAATCAGAGCCTAGTTGATGGCTATAATCGTTTCTCTTGCTTTTTGAATACATTATAACGTATTTTTTGTTTTTGTTTTTGTTTCAGTTTCATGCCCTTACCCAGGCTGGAGTGCAGTGATGTGATGATGGCTCACTGCAGCCTCCAACCACTGGGCTCAAGGGATCCTCCCAAGTAGCTGGACCACAGGTGCATGCCAGTACACCTGGCTAAGTTTTTTACTTTTTGTAGAGACAGCATCTCACTTTGTTGCCCAGGCAGGCTGGTCTCACCACCTGAGCTTAAGCAATCCTCCCACGTCAGCCTTCCAAAGTGCTGGAATTACAGGCGTGAGCCACTACACTTGGCCTGTACTATAATTTTTAAAAATCTTTGTCTGTTTCCTATTTTCTCTTTCTTGTTAGAGGTTCTTCAGATGTCTTGATTTTTTTTTCTTTATTGAGATGGAGTTTCGCTCTTGTTGCCCAGGCTGGAGTGCAATGGCGCAATCTCAGCTCACCGCAACCTCCGCTTCCCAGGTTCAAGCGATTCTCTTGCCTCAGCCTCCTGAGTAGCTGGGATTAGAGGCATGCGCCACCATGCACAGCTAATTTTGTATTTTTAGAAGACATGAGGTTTCTCCACGTTGGTCAGTCTGGTCTCGAGCTCCTGACCTCAGGTGATCCGCCCACCTCGGCCTCCCAAAGTGCTGGGATTACAGGCTTGAGCCACTGCACCCAGCCTTGATTTATATTTTTAAGAGAGAAAGAGATGTTTTAAAAAATGACTTGAAGCTCTCTGTTACAGTATGGGCCAGGCTTGCTAGCCTGTAGTCCTCTCCGTAGAATAATAAGGCAGCCAGCCAGCATATGGGTCTTTTTTCTGAGTTGAGTTTTCCCAGAGGAAAAAAAAACATTTTTTTTTTTGTTCCAGAGAAAAATCTTGAGATTTCCTGTCTAGAGATGCAAGCTTGGCTGCCAGCGTCCTAAAAGCCAAGTGGAGAAGAGGATGGTAGGGTTGTGTGGGTGGGGATATGGGCTCATGATTCAGTGCGCGGACTTTGACAATCTCCCGCCTGTTTTCAGTGGATGAGAACAGTTACCTGGTTGAACTGGGTTAAGGATCTAACTCCTCTTAGAAACTTTGGGCTAATGCTCTATTTTTCAGCCCCATGTTGCACCCCCACTTACTGAGGCCTCCCCAAGCTCTGTGCCCTAAAGTGGCTGGCTTTCTGGGGGCTCCTCCACTGCACTCATCATTACTGTCTGCTTCCTTGCAGTGCACAGAATCACTGTCACTCACTTCATCTCTCATGTTTCCAGCTTCCCATTGCTCATGGTGTCATGAGTTTATCTTGCAAGTTTATCCACTTTTTCGTGGGAAGGGATCAGATGGATGTACAACTGTATGTTTAGTAGTCTACCATATTATTTATAACCTTCTGGCAAAAAGAAGTGCCCATAGACTATAGTAAAAATTATATTGAATGTGAAATATATATTTGAAATTAGAACATTTTAATTCAGTCATGCAAGGAGCTTGCCCTTTACTCTTATCATGTCCCCTATCTCCCAATTACGGTCTTTTCTTTGTGCCTCCTTCCCTGTCTCCATTATTAACATCACGGTGAAACTCCAAGTTTGAGGTAGAAGATTCACTTCCCCTAAGAAGTTTATACACAATGACATTTTAAAATGCAAAGATCCTAGGAGGATGTAACATTTAAGACCCTCAAGTACAAAATTCTTTAGTCAAATTTGAGCGCTCAAAATAATCCGTTAATCATCCTCTTGTCAAAGTTGAGTTCTTGCTTCCCAACTTTCCTTGGAAAGTCACAGTATTTGGTGGGTTTTTTGTTGTTTGTTTTTTGAGACAGAATCTCACTTTGTTGTGGGGTTTCACCATGTTGGCCAGGCTGGTCTGGAACTCCTGACCTCAGATCATCCATCTGCCTTGACCTCCTAGAGTGTTGGGATTACAGGTGTGGGTCACTGCGCCCAGCCTGTTTATTGCTTTTTGATGTGCATATGTGTATGTGACCATCTGACAGTGTTTTCGTTATTTCAACATTTATTATTAACATATCTCAGCCCAGTTTTTTTGTGTAAACTTTTAGGTGTTCTATAGCAATAATTGATAATCAGTAATCAGGCTAAATCTTCCCCAGCAAATCTCTAGATCCTGTGTCTCAATTCAGGTCTTGGGCCGAGCATGATGGCTCACGCCTGTAGTCCCAGCACTTTGGGAGGCCGAGGTGGGCAGATCGCCTGAGGTCAGGAGTTCAAGACCAGCCTGGCCAACATGGTCAAACCCCGTGTCTACTAAAAATATGCAAAAATTAGCTGGACATGGTGACAGGCACCTGTAATCCCAGCTACTCGGGAGGCTGAGGCAGGAGAATGGCTTGAGCCTAGGAGACGGAGGTTGCAGTGAGCCAAGATGGTGCCACTGCACTCTAGCCTGGGCGACTGAGTGGGATTCAATCTCTAAAAAAAATAAGAAAAAAGTTAGGCTTGTTGTCTCTTTGAGCTGATGTACCACTATCACTATAAGATCCGTTTCTAGCTTTTATTTACCTAGCTTTTATTCTACTTTTCTCAGTGCACTCAAGGACAAATTAAAATTACACTAACTTGCCTTTTATTTAATTTGACAGATGATGTTTCAATTGTCCAGGATACTTTGAGTCTAGTTTTATCTTACTAGGTTTTAGCAGATAGATGCATTCAGTTTTGGTCTTGCTTAATGAGCATGCCCTTAATCCTATCATGTAAGATAAAGTCACATATTTCATTAGAGATCCATTTTGGCCTATGTATTTATCAGGTGTTTTGACAAGCACGATGTTATATTAAAATATTGGGAAGTCCTCAAGAGACATTGCTCCTCTCCCTGTGTCACACTACTCTGAAAATTGCCGAAAACTAGAACATTTCTATATTTAAAAATGGTGTTTACTTCCCTTCCTTTTTCCCTTCCTTTTTCCCTTCCCACAAGTGTGGGACTTGTGAATCTATTCATTTCAGCACAAGTCCCCTTTGCTTCTGTCCAACATTGACCACTGTTTGCCTTGGTATAATTGTGTATGAGAATCACAATGACCTCTGACATGAATGATATTACAGAGGTAATTGCCTCTGAATGGGTATGGATATAACTTGGTATGTACAAATCACCTTTGAGACATTAAGGAATGCCAAGGCGTGCAGGGATGTGACAGAAGGTAGATCTGGTGGCCATGGATCCCTTGAGGCTGGATAGCCCTACTAGTGGGGGAGTCGGGGAGTCTTTGCTTGTTCCCCTCTCATAGAAGGTGCCCCTCCCAAATTTTTCCAACCCCCCTTGGGAAACTTTTAATCTTTTTTTTTTACCTGACAGTATATGTTAACTGGTTTTAGGTTAATTTTTATTTTCTATTTTTATTTTTATTTTGAGATGAGTCTTGCTCTGTTGCCAGGCTGGAGTGCAGTGGCACAATCTTGGCTCACTGCAACCACCTCCTCGTGGGTTCAAGTGACTCTCCTGCCTCAGCCTCCCAAGTAACTGGGACTGCAGTCATGCACCACCACACCTGGCTAATTTTTGTATTTTTAATAGAGACAGGGTTTCACCATGTTGGCCAGGCTGATCTCAAACTCCTGATCTCAAGTGATCCACCTGCCTCAGCCACCCAAAGTGCTGGGATTACAGGTCTGAGCCACTGTGCCTGGCCAATTTTCTTTAAATTTCTGAATCAATATATTAAAGATTATATTTAGGGTTTTTTTTCCTTGATTTTTTGAGACAGGGTCTCACTCTGTTGTCCAGGCTGGAGTGCAGTGGCATGATCTCGGCTCACGGCAACCTCCGCCTCCTGTATTCAAGTGATTCTCCTGTCTCAGCCTCCCCAGTAGCTGGAATTACAGGTGCGTGCCACCACACCCAGCTAATTTTTGTATTTTTAGTAGAGACGGGATTTGAGGATGTTGGCCAAGCTGGCCTTGAACTCCTGACCTTAAGGAATCCACCCTCCTCGGCCTCCCAAAGTACTGGGATTATAGGTGTGAGCCACTGCACCTGGCCAGTTTAGGGGCTTATTTTTAATACAAGTTTAAATAATGGATAATTATTTACTTCCCCCATCTAACAGACTCACATCTTTCTTAAATTTACTTTAAATTGTGATGGAAAACATGATTTGGAAAATATAAAATAGATTGATTACATTATGAAAATGAAATCACATATTAAAACATCAAAACAGCCAAGTCAGAAAGGTAGGCTCTCTAGTTTAACTGTAAAATAGAGCCACCAGTCTACATGCTCTCTAAATTCTCAACTATATGTTCCTTGAAGGTGGTCATTTCCAGGGCCTGGCAAGGCCCCCATCCTGGTGAAGGCTCCCTTCAACTCCTGTTCTCTGCTCCTAACTCCAGTACCTCACCCCCACCCCTACCTGATTGTTCTTCCTCTGTGCTTGCTACAACTGCCCTTTCTCACATTCCCACACTCCCTTTCTCCATTCTCCTCTCCCTCCCAGCCCCCTCTCTCTGGCAAGCACTTGCTTTTTGTTACTTCTGCTGGGACCCATCTTCATTTCTCACTCTCTAGGCGGTGGCGCCCTGTTCCCATGGCTTTCAGTATATAGCAGAGAGTTGTATCTAATTTACCTGTTTTTCTTAACACTGTGTGGTATATCTTTTTATATCACTGCATGATGACATTGACACTAAATTTCCAGAGAAAAGGTTCATTTTCTTTCAGGATTTCGTCCAAATTCTAAGGAATCAAGTGAAATTTTCAGTTTTGAATTTTATTGCATATATTACCTTACAGAATAAATCATGACAAATTGAAGGACTCAAATTTTACTACGATTTATTTCTTGACTTTTTTTTTCTCTCTAGAGGTAGGGGGATGATGTGGGGAGCATTACACTTGATTTTAAAGTAAAATTTATAAGGAGTACACGATTCTTTGGCCAAGGCTGGGCAAGGTGGCTTATGCTTGTAATCCTAGCACTTTGGATTACCTGAGCCCAGGAGTTTGAGACCAGCCTGGGCAACATGGAGAAACCCTGTCTCTACCAAAAATACGAAAATTAGCCAGTCTTAATGACCTAGTCTCAAAATAAATAAGTAGAGAAAAATATTCAAAAAAATCCCAAAGGACCATAAACAAAAATATTGATAAACAAGCCACAACACACAAGTTATTATATGTTAATTACTCATCCCTGGGATGTTAAACTAGTTATTGCTAATCTGTTAAAAGAGCTAACAGCAAATAGTATGTAAAAGCAGGCATCCCTTTCAATTCAACAAATATCTTGAGTCTCTACTGGAAAACCCGTTGAAATGTGAAGTTAAACTCCTGTCAGGGAACTTGCAGGGTGACTCAGCCTCAGCCTCGGCCCCTTAGCTGGTGTGTGGTTAGAGAAGCTCTATGTCAAGGCTTCTGAACTTCATGCAGGAAAGTTTGTGTGATTCTGCAGAAAGCAATGCCTTGCCGCACACAGGTCCTGCACTAGGGCTTCGATTTTTCCAAAAGATACGGCTTGCTTCATCCAATACTGTTTCAGGAAAATGGAGGTTCCTCCTCCGCACCCCAAGCCAAGGCCAATTTCGCGGGACCCTCAAGGCTTGCTACTGCAGATCAGATTCGTCCAATTTATTGGAAAAACGTATGAGAAGAGAAAATCAAGGCAGCTAAACACTTGCCCCGGAAGGTCCTGGCTTTTGCCGTTCTCCTCAACAGCTGTGTAGAGGGGAGGCCTGGGTGAGAGCCCCAGAGTCACACTGCTTCATATGAATTCCAGGACTTGTTGTTTCCTTGCGAGGTCACTAGCTCAAGTCACTTAACCTCTGTGCTTCACTGTCCTTACCATACAAAGTATGAAAACTGACAGCACCTACAGTAAAGAGGTATGTTAGGAGGATTAAATGTGTTGCTCTTTGGAAAGTGCTTAGAGCAGTGTTTGGCACATTTCAACAGTTAGGTGGTTTCAGAGGAAATGCAAGCTGCAGACTGGTGACCGCCCTCAGATGGTGTCCTCCCTCATTGTTGTCTTAGTAAAGATGTGTTCCTGTTAGCAAGCTCACTCAGTACTCTATAGCTTATGTTGTAGTTCCATCATAGTGCAGCTAGCTCATCTTGCCAGGGGTGTTCAGAACTTAATCTCTTTGAAAGTTGTCCTTGGTGGAAATAAAAACATTATCTCCTTTTTACTCTTGTTGGAAACTCAAGTTTGCTGCGGGGGGAAGGGTGGCAGGGTGTGAGGTATTTCAGGTGCAGTATTAATATTATGTCTTATGAAATAGCATCAGCCAACACGAACACACTCAGGAATTATATCTCTCAAAAGACAGAAGGCAAAAGGGAGGGACTAAAATCTACCTTGCATGTTAAGTAAAAGCATTAACATTCTAGTGAGATGACAAAGTTTTGATAGCGATTATCTAAAGCCAAAGAAAAGAATCTGCCTGGTAGTAAAGTTGGGTTTTTTTGGTTTGGTTTTGTTTTTTTTTTGAGACTGAGTCTTCCTCTATCCCCCAGGCTGGACCGCAATGGCACAATTTCGGCTCACTGAAACCTTCGCCTCCCAGGTTCAAGCAATTCTCCTGCCTCAGCCTCCTGAGTAGCTGAAGTTGCAGGCACCTGCCACCATGCCTGGCTAATTTTTGTATTTTTAGTAGAGACGGGGTTTCACCATGTTGGCGAGGCTGATCTCGAACTCCTGACCTCAACTGATCCGTCTGCCTCAGCCTCCCGAAGTGTTGGGATTACAGGCATGAGCCACCGCGCCTGGTCTAAAGTTGTTTTTTTAAGTAAACTTTTTAACATGTCAGCACTAAAAGGCCCAAAATAATTAAGAATTCTGAGTTTGTGTGGTGTATCCACAGAATGATTCAGGACAAATACTTCCCTATAGCATTCCACCTCCTCCCCTAAAACAGTGAATATACTGAGAATATGTGAACTCCAGAGGGCTTGTATTAGTCCGTAAAGAAATACCTGAGGCTGGGTGATGTATGAAGAAAAGAGGTTGAATTGGCTCACAGTTCTGGAAGCTGTATAGGAAGCATGATGCCTGCATCTGCTCAGCTTCTGGGGAGGCCTCAGGAAACTTACAGTCATGGAGGGAGGTAGAGGGGGAGCAGGAAGGCTTCTTGCATGGCAGGAGCAAGACAGAGTGAGGTGCGAGGTGTTGCACACTTTCAAACAACCAGGTCTTGTGAGAACTCAGTATCACAGGAATAGCACCCACATGATCCAGCCACCTCCCACCAGGCCCTGCCTCCAGCATTGGGTGCTACAGTTCAACCTGAGATTTGGTGAAGTCACAGATCCAAACCATATCAGGGATCTATTGTATTTGAAGGATTTAGCCTTTAATTTACGGGCAGTGCAAAACCATTAGTGATTTCTAAGCGTGTAAGTCACATGTACAGGTTTGTGTTTTATAAAGGAAACTCAGGAAATAAGTAGGGAGACATCAGAAGCAGACAGGTCATTCGAGAGGCTGTGGGATTAATTTGTGCAAGAGCTGGTAAGGACCGAGTATGTGGTAGAAACGGGAGTCAGAAGGATTGGATGGATCTGAGAAACGTTTTAGGGATTCAAAGTTGATAGACTTTTTTTTTTTTTTTTTTTTTGAGACGAAGTCCTGCTCTGTCACCCATGCTGGAGTGCAGTGGCACGTTCTCGGCTCACTGCAACCTCCACCCCCCAGTTTCAAACATCCTCCCAGGCCTCAGCCTCCCAAGTAGCTGGGATTACAAGCATGTGCCACCATGCCGACTAATTTTTGTATTTTTTAGTAGAGATGGGGTTTGACCATGTTGGCCAGGCTGGCCTCGAACTCCTGACCTCAGGCGATCCACCTGCCTCCCAAAGTGCTGGGATTATAGGCGTGAGTCACCACACCCGGCTAAAGTTGATAGATTTTAAACACTGACTAGATGCAGCAGGTTTGGGAAAGTGAGGAGGCAGAGGTCAAGGATGAAGTTGAGGTTTCTAGCTCCAGCAAGTCAGTGGGCGAGGTGAGGGGTCATCAACATACCAATAACAGAAAGAAGGGTTGAAGAAAAGAAATTTAGGTTTGCGTTTAATATGTATTAGACAAGAAAATATTAGATATGAAGGCAGTTCAGCCTAATATACATGTTTAGATAAGTCAACACTAGATTCTAATACAGCATTTTAAATAACTGCTTGCTTTTTATTTAGCCTTTCAAATAGATGTAAACTGATAAATTTTTAAATCCAAATTGAAAGAAAGTGGAGAGAAAAATAGGAAATCATGAGGTCTGTGTCATGTTTATAAAAAAGAAAAAACCCAGAGAATCCCAAAAAGATACCAAAAAAATTTAAGCTATCATCATAATTATTCCTAAAATGTAATTGGAAGGGGAAACAGAAAGGATAACTTGCTGTTTGGGCTTTTTTTTTTTTTTGGACAGAGTCACTCTTGCCCAGTCTGGAGTGCAGTGGTGCGATCCCAGCTCACTGCAACCTCTGCCTCCCAGGTTCAAGCGATTCTCCTGTCACCACATCTGGCTAATTTTTTTTTTTTTTTTTTTTTTTTTTTTTTTTGTAGAGATGGGGTTTTGCCATGTTAGCCAGTCTGGTCTCGAACTGCTGACCTCAGGTGATCCACTTGCCTTGGCCTCCCAAAGTGTCGGGATTACAGGCCTGAGCCACCACACCTGGCCTGTTTAGACTTTTAAAATAATTTTCCCAAGATACTGACAATGTGGTGAAAAACCAAGACTGTATTTAATTACACTGAGAAAGAGCACATGTCAAACATTTTTATGGGCCTGAAGAAAACCTCTCTGTTGTGCACAGTTGTACCCTATTTCCTCAGTTTCAGAATGCAGCCTCGTGCCTTTATGCACTGAATTGAGGCTAGGCAAAGTGCTACCACATGACTCTATGGTGAAATGGGCTCTGAAGTGGGAATCGTCGCTCTGCCCATAGGAAGGAGCAAGAAACATGGGAAAAGGCAGAAGAAAAGAAAAATTGGCCACAGGGTTTAGATGAGGTGCTGGCACCATCTGTGCTGGTCAGGGTTCCCATTTGAACTCCTGAGTCATGAAAAAGATTTACATATTATTTACATAAAGATAACAGTATTATTCTTATTGTAAAACTAATGGAACTGTTCGTAGAAGAATGCCGCAATCCTGATAACCCAACATATCTGACTCTTCTAGATTTTGTCCATGTGCTGATTATTTCACTAGATATAATAGTATAATACAGTTAGCTTCCCATATTCATGGGTTCTGCATTCTTAGATTCAATCAACAGCAGATTGGAAATATTTGGAGGGGGCAGGGCGCAGTGGCTCACGCCTGTAATCCCAGAACCTTGGGAGGCCAAGGTGGGCAGATCACCTGAGGTCAGGAGTTCAAGACCAGCCTGGCCAACACAGTGAAACCCTGTCTCTACTAAAAATACAAAAAAAATTAGCTGGACGTGGTGGCGGGCGCCTGTAGTCCCAGCTACTCGGGAGGCTGAGGCAGGAGAATGGCGTGAACCCAGGAGGCGGAGCTTGCAGTGAGCCAAGATCACGCCACTGCACTCCAGCCTGGGCGACACAGCGAGACTGTCTCAAAAAAAAAAAAAAAACTTGGAAAAATTCCATCTGTTCTGAATATATACAGACTTTTTTCTTCTTGTCATTATTCTCTAAATGAGAAAGTATAACAACTTTGCATAGCATTAGCTACATCATATTAGGTATCATACATAATCTAGAGATGGCTTAAAGTATACAGGAGGATGTGCTTAGCTTATATACAAATACTGTGCTATTTTATATAAGCGACTTGGGCATCCGTGGAGTTTGGTATTGGCAGAGGTCCTGGAACCAGTCCTCCATGGATGCCAGGAATGACTGTAATGACTGCTAACATGTACTGAATGCTTTCTAAGCACTATACGTGAATTACCACATTTAGACCTCAAACCAACCCTTTCTGGTGGGTCTCATCACACTCCAGGTGAGATTTGAGGTCCAGAGAGGAGCTTGCCCAGGATTCAAACCTTGTGAGTCTCCATCATCACAGTGTAGATACAAGTCTGTGTTGCTTTTTTTACTTTATTTTGTAATTTTAATTTTCATTCTAATCTGTGATTTCTTTTTTCTTAGTTTAGCGTGAGTATAATGTAATTTATTCAAGTACCGCACTTTTATTGAGGTGGTTTCCAGTTAATTTACTACTTTCTATGGAGCAATAAGCATTTTTATTTTTCGATTTAAAGAAAAATTTATGGCTGTTGAACTGCTAGGTCAAGAAGGGCCAACATTGTTATGGTTTTTGATAGGCATTGTCTTGTGGTTTAATCAACAAAGGGTCATAACAAGGCATGAGCATCCATGAGGACAGGTGAGCCTGTTTACTGCTACCTCAGTGGCATTGGACCTTCTTTTTAAACTTTTAGTTCCTTTTCATTTATTTTATTAGTGATATTAATGTTGTTCCCTGTTAATTTTGTGTTTAATGTCCATTAATTGTTAATTTGGAATTTTATTATTCTCAATTTGTTTTTCTGTACCTATTTCTCATAGCCTGAATCACTTCTCTGGAAAATTGAGATGTATGGAACTCCTTTCTTCAGGGGTGCCCCTAAATTAGGCATTAGTAGAGCTCTTAAAAAGTTTCTCATCCCAGCCGGGCACGGTGGCTCACGCCTGTAATCCCAGCACTTTGGCAGGCCGAGACGGGCGGATCACAAGGTCAGGAGATCGAGACCATCCTGGCTAACACGGTGAAACCCTGTCTCTACTAAAAATACAAAAAATTAGCCGGGCGTGGTGGCGGGCACCTGTAGTCCCAGCTACTCTGGAGGCTGAGGCAGGAGAATGGCATGAACCCGGGAGGCGGAGCTTGCAGTGAGCCGAGATCGCGCCACTGCCCTCCAGCCTGGGCGACACAGCGAGACTCCATCTCAAAAAAAAAAAAAAAAAAGTTTCTCATCTGTAAATTAGATGATGATAGAGGACTGTAAAGGATAAAACTAACTTTGCTGGAAATCAAGTAGCCTCCTTGGTGGAGGCTAAACTATTCCTGGAAGCTTTTGAGTTGATGTGGTTTTAAAGGAAGCAAATATTATGAGCTACCTAGCATCAGCCTTAGAATTGTGTCCTCATGTGTTGGTTTAGTAAAGATAACCCTCCTGTCTCTAAACTTATTGGTGGAAATTAAACTGAAGAGAAAATTCAGCCCTATCTGATGCTGTCCACGTAAACCTGGTAATAGTGGAGTGATTTTGGTTGTATGCACTTAAGAGCTGACACTTAATTTGAAGATGTTGGCAGCATACTGCTGTCAGTTAACGTGCCTTATGAAAATAGAATTGAAGAACTGCTACACAGGCAGATAGACAATACCAGGGTCAACAGAATAACAAATTTCCAGCCGAACTCAAATCTGAAGTGGTGCTAGTCCCTTCTGATGGACTAGCACCACCAGTGGGACCTGGGTGCCCTGACATTGTTCAGCGGTGGAGGCATTTCATCTCTGTTATGTGTTTCTCACGGAGCAGCTAGTGGAAGTTTCTAGTAAAATGTATATTCATCTAACAAGTCTCAGGCCTATTCATTGTGGCTGGCTCCCTAGGGGTGCCATGTGGTTCCAGACTTTGAAAGCTGTGATTGTGAACCTTAAATCTTAGTTCAGACACATGTCAGGTGAAGGCCTCTGGTTTGCTTGAAAGTTATTTTTGTTTTTTCATACAAAGCTGGTTGCTAGGATAATAGTGTAATTCATTAGGATAAGTGATAGGACAGTTCCCAAATTATTCTGTTTGCTTGTTTCTAGGTAGGGTTCTTTATTGAAGTAATAAAAATATACTAATGCTTTGAAAGGGCAACCCCTCAAAAATGAAATGTATTTGTTTGCTGATATAAGACTTTGTGTCTCCCTCCTCTTCAGAGAGCAGGCCTGGGCATTTTAATCCACTATTATTTGTGAAAAGCACATCGATTTAAAACCAGCTCACCTGTCACCTCATTCCCCAGGCAGCAAGTGCTGCCCAGCTGCACTCCCATTTTACCTATTACACCACTTAGCACCCATGGGTCAAATCCCCCAAGTCACTCCAATAGTGGCAGGTCTGAGTGCCTCCTCACTGAGGGTAGGACAGACCTCTGAGACCTTACTGACTCAGCCTTCCCTTTGCAGGTTACACAGACCCAACAGTATTCAGAGCCTATGCCTCCCAGCACTTATGCAAATGCCCAGCTAAGCTGGAGCTGCTCTTGGGGTGACTACCAGCTTATCTGATTGTCGTCCTCACCAGATAGGCTCCCCAAGGGCTGAGTTGGCCCCAGAGCCCACCCTAATGCCTGGCATGGGGGGTGATCAGTGCAGGGTAAATTTGTGACTGACAGGTTCTTTAAGAGACACGTAGAAGCAATGTAACCTCCAGTGGGAAGAGGTGGGCCTTTGGATGCCATTTAAATATGTATGTTTAAAAGTATGTAATATTGAGCTGGGCATGGTGGCTCACACCTGTAATCCTGGCACTGTGGGAGGCCGAGGCAGGCGGACCACCTGAGGTCAGGAGTTTGAGACTAGCCTGGCCAACGTGGGGAAACCCCATCTCTACTAAAAATACAGAAGTTAGCTGGGCATGGTGGTGGGCACCTGTAATCCCAACTGCTGGGGAGGCTGAGGCGGGAGAATCGCTTGAACCGGGAGGTGGAGGTTGCAGTGAGCTGAGATCGCGCCATTGCACTCCAGCCTGGGTGACAAGAGCGAAACTCCATCTCAAAAAAAAAAAAAAAAAGTATGTAATATTGGAAATAATTTGTGAATATGCTGGTCAGAATTTTAATCTACGTATAAAAATTTAAGGAGATGTTAAAATGTGTTTTGGTAGTGAGACTGATTTTTGTTTTCCTGTTATAGTTTTGGGGAAAAAAATGATGAGAGATGGATGACCAGCAGCATTCTTAATTTCTTGTCCTTGTGGTTCTTTGTAAGGCAGAGGAACAGGTTTTGCCTTCATTATAGAGGGCATCTGTATGAGGCTTTGTTGTTCATGAGTTTCAGTGTATGTCTCTGGGGACAAAAATGTGAGTTGCCACTGGGTGAATGTAGTGCCACCTGAATGTTGAAAAACACAACTCCTGAATCACCACCAAACCTGTTCTTCCTCCAGGGTCTCCCAAGAGAACAGGTTTGGTGGGGATTCAGGAGTTGTATTTTGTTCATGTTAAGTCTGAGATGCCTCCTAGACATTGAAATGCACAATGACCATTTCAGAATGAAGGAATTTCCAGTGGATAGTTTTTAGCAGGTAAAAGCAGCCCCACCTTATGTTCAGTGAGCACTTGTGTAAGTGCTGGGAGGCATGGTCTATGGATACTGTGAGGTCTGTGTAAGTGTGGAGAAGCTACACCTAACTCGGCCAAAGGGAGGGCTGAGTCAGTAAGGCCTCAGAGGCCTGCCCTCCCCATGTGGCACTTGGACCTGCCACTACTAGAGTGACTTGGGGGGTTTGAAGCGTGAGTGGCAGGGGAAATAGGCACATGTCAAGAACCACACTCTGCTGCTTTGCCAGTCTCCTCCACCATGCCCTGTGAAACTCACAGTCCACCAAGAGCACTCTCTTAGTTCTCTGCTCTGAACAACCACTTTGCCTGGCTTTCTCAGTAACACCATCTACCGCTACCCCCGCCCCCACCCCACACTCTCCCAGGCAGAAGCAGAGTCATTAGTATTTAGCCCTCTCACTGTGGGCCAAGTGACAACTTGTTCCTTCACTAGGGTACATCAGGACAGGGATAAGCGTTAAGCATCCCTGGTAGAGACCTGAGGAACATTGTGCAAGGCGGCCGGGGTTGTTGATAGTATCTGTATCAACTACTAATGTTTTAGTTTCGCCTCCTGGCAGGGCGAGGGTTTTAGCAGTGCCACAGAAACCGTTCTTCATTGAAGCAAATCATCTCCCAATAATGGAATCTCACTAACTTGCTGACCCAGCATTCTGTTCTCTCAGACCTACCTCATCCCTTCCCACCTTTGGAAAAAAGCTCCATTTAAGGTGAATATGCCAACAAAAAATCTTGTTGCTCAGCTCCAGAAGATTCTCTGTTTAAGATCTTCCAAATTAGCTGTAGAGAACCCCAGGAAATGATCCAGCCACATAAAGACTCACTTTTCCCACGGACCCCCAAGGAGCTCTGAAACCACCAGCAAACACCCAGTTGTTGCCTTTAGCTCCTTAATTTGACTTGGGAACTCTGAAATCCCTTAGTCATTGGTGTATTTTCAGACAATTTCAATAATCTGACCAGTCCCATCCTCTACTTGTTGCTTTTTTCTAATCTCACTCTTGAAAGAAAAGTCATGTGATAGAACCACCTTTTATTATACGACCACCACACTGCCCAGAGACAAGGCCCAAAGGAGAGCACAGAGGCTCTTGAATTTACTGGACGGTCTTTGTTGGCAAAGAGTCATAATTATAGAATCTTTTAGGTCATATTTTATCCTTCATCCAGACATCTGTAGGAGTTGGCTTCTTGGGAAACTATAACATCACTTAGCCCCTAAGCTGAATTTCTTAACCTGTAAAATGGAGTTAATAACTGGACTGCCTTGTCAAGGTGTTGGATAAATGAAATCTGTCCTAACAATAGACACTTAAATCTTGGGCCTGGGCATGGTGGCTCACATCTGTAATCCCATCACTTCAGGAGGCTGAGGTAGGAGGATTGCCTAAGCCCAGGAGTTTGAGACCAGCTTGGGCAACAAAGTGAGATGCCATCTCTACAAAAAATAAATCAGCCAAGTGCAGTGGTATGCACCTGTGGTCCCAGCTACTAAGGAAGTAGAGGCAAGAGGATTCCTCTAGCCCAGGAATTTGAGGTTGCAGTGAGCTCTGATTGTTCCACTATGAGTACAGTGGCACAATCAAAGCTCACTGCAACCTCAAACTCTTTGGCTTGATGAATGAGTGACAGAGCGAGACCCTATCTCAAAAAAAAAAAAAAGTGTAGGTGGAGGAGGAGGAGATGTATTGAGGAATTATGCAGGATTTCTAAACTTGGTTATATTACTTCCAGATCTCTATTTTCTTCATGGAGACTCTTGGAGTTTCCTTTTCTTTTTTTCCTTTTTCCTTTTCTGTTGAAATGAGGATTGTACTCTTGCTGAGTATCTTCCTAATCTGGTAGGAATCTTCTGAAACAGAAATGTAGAAGAAAATTTCCATATCTATGAAGATGAATTGAACCAATAGTTCTAAAACTTTCTTGAGGATAAGAACCTGGGATGCTTCCCATTCAGTCTCTTCTGGGACAGTGTCCTCAGTCTGTGTTTTTTAACTCAAGCTTAGGACCATGCTGGTGCAGGTGGCAGAGTTACCCTTTGAGAAATGCAAAAATCAATTCTGAAAACTGAAGGTTCATAAGCTAGTCACAGATTTGGGTGCCAAAGTTTCCATTCTAGTGTGGACGTAGTTTTTCCTTCCAGTAGGTTTCCAGGAAGAAAAGGCCCCGGTTTGAGCATGACCTGTGGGAGTGACCTGAAATGAGATGTGAGACTATGTCTCATGTTGTTGCCAAATTAAATGACCCCACTGAAGCTTGGCTGAGAGGTGGCAGGGGCTGGCTTAGGATTTGAGGACCAGTGATCCTGTGGTAGTTTCATTGGCATTAGCTTCAGTATATCAAGATATCCTCGTTTTTGAAAGTTCCTTTCTGCTGGGACTCTGCTATTTCCTGAGCCTCCAGTGTCTGTCCTGTCAGGCTGCCCCTGCCTTTGAAAAACTTGCCACTTCCAGGAATAGGGTGGCTTTGCCTGACAATACCTCAACCTGTTTGAGAAGATGGACAGGCGAGAGCGTTGGTGAGATGGCAGTGGCTCCGGGTGCGAAAGAGGAAGGTAATATGAATGCAAGTAGGAAGAAAGGAGTAAAAATGAGAAAGACCTCCAGAGCCAAGTGTTTGGAACAGCTTTGGAGATTTCCGCTTCAGTATGATCTTCACAGATTTGAAATCTTGTTAAGGGAGTCCTATTGTGGCAGCAGGTTTGTCGTTTCTGCACTGAAACTGTAAACATTTCAGTATGGGTGCCTTGTGAATAAGCAGCTTCCAGTAATTGGCTTTCTGGAAGCACAGACCCAACTCCTGGGTAGGATGAGCCATGGAGAGAAGCAGCTTACACCAAGAGTCACTTCCCTGGAGTGTAATTTCTTTAAAAAGATGCCTTTTTAGATTCAGAAAGCACAAAATGTAATCATTTCTCTTTATAAGCTAATCCACTGTTTGAGCAAAGGGTAAAATAAAAATAAGCTAGTGCAAGACCTTGTGCAACTTCAATTTCAGTGTTTCAAACTATGTAAGTATTTCTCTCCCTGTACTTGAGAAAAAGCTCTTCTCTTTCTTCATCACAGGGCTGCCGCAGGTCTCCTACTCCTGCTGGGTTCAGCCTTTTCTCAGGTTCTCTGCTTTTATTCAGAGGAAAAGTGCTAATCAATGGCTTATACCTAGTCCTGGACTCTAGCACTCTGTGCCCTTCCTTTCTAATTTCTTAAAGGGCACAAGCTCCTTTTAACATAGGAAAAACTCCGTTAGACAAAATATATAAGGTTTTCAGCACAGTGGCAATTTTCTTTTGGGGCTATAAAAGAAACCCTCTGATTAGGATTATTTTAATGGAGTATATATAACTGTAGATAAGATAAAATGCAGGCTGGGTGCAGTGGCTCATGCCTGTAATCCCCGCACTTTGGGAGGCCGAGGAGGGTGGATCACCTTAGGTCAGGAGTTCGAGACCAGCCTGGCCAATATGGTGAAACCCCGTCTCTACTAAAAATACAAAAGTTAGCTGGACGTGATGGTGGGTGCCTGTAATCCAGCTACTTTAGAGGCTAAGGCAGGAGCATCACTTGAACCCGGGAGGTAGAGGTTTCAGTGAGCCAAGATCTCGTCACTGTACTCCAGCCTGGGCAACAGAGTGAGACTCCATCTAAAAAATAATAATAAAATGCAAACTGTGTTTCAGAAAAAAAGGCAAGTTTGGTTAGCACAAAGAAACATCATTAGTGACACCTGTGTTGGCCTTCTGAGTTATGAGACTTCATATTAACATTATAACAAACTACGTATACATTTTGTGCAAGAGAAAAATTACTAAACCAGGCCTTCTTGAGTAATGCTTTAATTTTCCAGAAGGGGGACATAGATTGGATTTAACTTAAATTGAGGCAAATGGATGTATTTTATTTGGGAAATTGTTTTTTGTTCCTCCTTTGTTTTGCCTCCATAAATTTATTAATGCAGAACCTGAAGGCTGTAAACCCAGGATAATTAGAGTTACAGTGTTACAGAACATTAAAAACCCACAGCAAGTGGCTGATATCTGCCTACCATATCTGCAGTTGAAGTTCATACCATGTGTGATAATTACGAACTTTCTTTTTTGTGGGCACCTTGGTAGAAATTATTAGTATCACCTGCCATATTTTCACATGTTACTTAAACATCATCAATAAAGTGTACATAGTAAAGCAGATAGCTGAGGGTGGGGAATAAGTGGTTAAATACTGTGTCTGACCTGTAAAATACGCTCTAAATAGACAAAAGGAACCCCTTTGTGTGGCAGCATAGCTGGGTTTGGTTTAGTAGCAATAGTAGATTGTTAGCTTTAACTCCTCCTGGATGTCTGTGCTGCTGCCCATAGCCTTGCAGACAAGCACAGACGGCCTTTGTAGTTTCAAGGGACCATCCATTCCACATGGGACTAGAGAGTAACAAAATGACTAGGGATCAGTGCTGGTACTTCCTGGGAAGTATGTGCAGGGTGTGTGTGTGTGTGTGTGTGTCAGTCAAGGTCTTGCCCTGTCATCCAGGCTGGAATGCAGTGGTGTGATCATAGTTGGCTGCAGCCTTGACCTCATGGGCTTGAGCAGTCCTCCTGCCTCAGCCTCCTGAATAGCTGGGACTACAGGGAGTGCCAACACACCCAGCAAATTTAATTTTATTTTTTGTAGAGACAGGGCCTTTCTTTGTTGCCCAGGCTAATCTTGAACTCCTGGCCTCAGGCAGTCCTCCCACCTCAACCTCCCAAAGTGCTGGGATAACAGACATGGGCCACCTTACTTGGCCCTGTTCAGGTTATTTTGCCCTGATCAGTGTCTTTAAGTAGCAGAAGATACCCCCACCGTGCCCTTTTTTCCCAACTGGGTATTATCCCCAATGTATTGTTGAGAAAATCGAGACTTAAATTAACTTGCCTAGGCTCCTGTACCAGTGAGAGACAGGGCCAAGTATAAGTTTCTTTTAGCCCTGCTGCTATTCCAGATCAGCAGCTTCAGTGGACAGCTCCGCTCCAGTGAAAAACTCCGAGAACTTCCTCTCCGCCCCAGCTTTCTCTCTTTTCCTTATTTCTTGTCTTTGTTTTTAGACTGCCTAAATTTGAGGTAAAAATCAAAAAAGATTTCTGATAAGGAATATCTGAATATAAGGAAGGTACACAGAGGAATTGTCAGTTAAACTAACTGGAACAGTTTCTTTGACTAGATTTGTCGTTGTTGTCCTCTACTTTAGGAGAAGTAAAATGATACGGAAAAAAAGCTTGCTAGCAGGGATTTATTTTAAAAAGCAAGTTTTAGGCTATGTCCTGGGATCACTTTGATAAAGCCTAGTCTCTTCCTCGTGTCTTACAAGAATACTCTTAATACAGAATCATAACTCTAAGACAACGGAAAACAATCAGTTTACTCAAAACCCTGAGCTATTTACTAAAGCAGGAAGATAGCCTGTGTTCTATAAAAGGTTTCTCGTAGTTACCCATAAAATGTCATTTGGAATTAAACCCATTCCTGACCAGTTGAGATTTTGCTCTCAGTCCAAAACATTCTCTTCTGTAAATGGAATCTTTCTAGGAGAAAGTAGCATTTAGAGCAGGTGCCACGTGTGTGCTCACCTCATCAGAATCCTGCTGTGCTGGCATCCAGAGGGCTCCCTGTCCACTGTGCTGATTTACACTGCCACACACTCAGGCTCACTGCAACACATCTCACAGACCCCCTGGCCATGTGTCAGCATCAAGTCCTGTCGGTTTTACCTTCGAAGTCTATGCTGCCTCTTGTATGCATTTCCACCACCAGTACCCAAACTCTTCCATATCATCCCTAACCCAGCAACAGCCATTGTTGGCCCTGGGTTCCTGCATATCAGCTTCCCACCCTCTCAGAGTTGTGCTCCACTGTGTTGGTTCCCTACACCCTGCCTGCTTGTCCCTCCACAAAGCAGTTTGTTCCCCTTCCCCCCAGGTAGCTCTTACTCACTCTTTATGACTCAGGTCAAGCTACACTCCCTCAAGAATGCTTTCCTGACTTCCTTAACTAGGTTGGTGGCATTAAGTCTGCGCTCTGAAGTACTGTTTACATCACTGTTTAAATTTTGCTTTACCCCCAGATCATTCTGTGAGCTCCTGGAGGGTAGACACTAGGTGAACTTTTGGCTCCCCATTTCAGCCCCTGCACACAGGCATGCAATAAAAATTTGTAGAATGAATAAAAAGAAAAGATTATTATACTTCTGAAGTCGATACCATCAACTCCTAAGGGAACTTAAATATCAAAGAAAAGAGCCCTGAGAATAAAAGGCACCTTGATCACACAGTGTCTTACAACCTTTAGAGAAACCTGCATGTCAAGGGGAAAGACCAGCCTGATCAAGTTCTTATTAATTTTCATCCAACCCATGTTTCTACTTTCTGGACATGCAGTTTTATGCTGTGGAATCAGGATTGACACATTAATAAGGCAAATTAAAAGTCCCAGAGAACAGCTCGTTAGGAAGTCAAACTGCCTTCTTGACATTCAGTAGAATAACTTACACTTTATGATTCTGAAGAAGCATGGGTCTGGTGTTTTTACTTTCGTTAGCCAAGGGTTACCTTCACATTATTGCAGAGGTCCCTTCCTCATAACACAGCTCACGGGTGAGAATCTGGATTTTTTTTTTTTTTTTTTTTTTTTTTTTTTTTTTTGAGACGGAGTTTCACTCTTGTTGCCCAGGCTGGAGTACAATGGCATGATCTCGCTCACTGCAACCTCCACCTCCCAGGTTCAAACGATTCTCCTGCCTCAGCCTCCCGAGTAGCTGGGATTACAGCCATGCACCACCACACCCAGCTAATTTTTGTATTTTTAGTAGAGACAGGGTTTCACTGTGTTGGCCAGCCTGGTCTCAAACTCGTGACCTCAGGTGATCCGCCCGCCTCGGCCTCACAAAGTGCTGGAATTACAGGCGTGAGCCACCATGCCCGGCCTGAGAATCTGGATTTTTTAAAGCAACAATGGCATAAAAAGAGGTATGTGACAGAATCTTCTGGAGAAAAGACCTCCTTCCCCAGCTGCGTCTTAGACCTACTAACTTCTCATTATTTGTTTGCTCAGTGTTAAAATGAGTAAGTCCATTGTATAAAGCTGTGTGTATTCTGAATATGTTCTTTATCTGCTCAAGATTGTGGCTAATTTCTGACATCCTCTGTTTGGTAGATGAAGTACAGAAAGACAAAGAAGGACATTCTTAATGAAGGAGAAAAGTCCTTTAATCCCAACCTTTCTAACCTGATGGAAAACATCATAACTTTACTATAAACTGCAGACAGGCTGGTCCCACCTTATGGGCACAAAGACATCGGAAGGGAAATAAGGGAACGGGCTTTCTTTGTGGATCAAAACAGAATCCAAGGATGTAGCTGTTAGATGCCGCCAAAACGGCCACACTCAAGAGATTTGGACCTGGGTCAGGCTTTCTGTGCGTTTTGTACCACTTCTGGGGCCAGCTACCACCCAACCACCACTCAGCCACAGAGACACTTATTACAGGTTTATAATTTGACTTGAAAGGTTTTCCCAAAGAAACAAATACTTGTCAGGATCTGTAGCAGAGCCATGTTTTGATTGGGGCTTTTATGGGAGGAGAATGGTGATCTAAATATATAATTTTATTTCAAATTATGCTTGAAAGATGATCAGATTAAAGAAAGTTTGTGTGAGTGTTTTCATGGGCTTGTATTGGAGGGAAGCAGATGACTGGGTCCCAGGAGGCAGAGAAGATGAACTATTGGGCCCTAAGTGTGTTGTAAGGAATAGTACCATCTGTTGGACCTAAGATCCACATGGCAGCAGAGGGTCCAGAATCAGCCACAGCAGATTATTCTAGATTAATGTGAGTAGGGACAGGTTTGGAGAAGTATGGCTAGGAGCACCTGGCAGGTGACTCTGATGCAGGCAGCAAAGGAGTCATTGGTTTCCAGGTCTGCTCTCCACATAACAGAGGGCACTGTCTGTAGAGTACAACAGGCAAGCCTGTGAGGCGGTTTTTCTCATTCTAGTTGTGCTCAATATGCCATTTTGGGGCAGTTTTCAATGCTTTCGAAATCCTGCTAGAATTTAATTTGTATGCAGTTGTGTGTCATTATTAGTCCCCATTTATTTAACATCTTTTCTTGTAATGCAAAATGCTTTAGAAAGCTTTAAAAATAGTTTTAGTTTGTATTGGTCCCAGATAGGAGAATTGAGAGGGGAGATACAATGAAAGTAATAGTAAATAGTAGCTAAGAAGTGAAGTGTCCAGAGACTTGGCCAAGAACTGACCTTCCACACCGTCGGAGATGAAACATTACTGAAACATACAGCAGCTAGACTTACCAAAAAAACGACCAGCAGCAGGTGTCCAGACCCATGCAGGGTCTGCTTGTTTAAGGCAGATTGTAGGAGAGAAATTACTTAACAAAAAATTAACTTTAAACTGTTTGTCTTAATTTAATAGACTGTACTTTGTATTATATCTGATTTTGATATCAGTAATTGCCAAAGTATGACAGAGATGAATGTATGTTTTATGTAATTTTTATTTAAAAGTTCTAATAATTACATAACTTTCTAGTTTGTAAAACACTTTTATGGTTATTTTACACAGCAGCTTTAGGCAGAAGGCAAAGCAAATACTGTTATCCCCATTTTACAGATGATAAAATTGACCTGGTGACTTTTGGCTTTCACACGTGTGCTGACACCCTCAGTTTTTTTCTCCAGTAGCCCTGTGCTGCATCATACCTGGACAGTATGCACATTAGACCAACCACATTTATTCTAAAAAGCTAGTCAAGCCTGGAACTTTTGTCTTAAGTACACACAATTAGCCCTTAGCCAGTGAGTGGCTGGCTGATGTTTCATACTGACATCATAATTGATTAAGTGTGTATTTAATGGATTCAGTTTCTGAAACTGGCACTTTTGCCGGAGCAGCTGTAGGACATAAGTGCAGATTCTAAATCCATGTACCATAACTTGAGTAGCACTGAGTAAATGGACCTGAGAAGAACTGGACAAGTCTCTGTCCCTCTGAGGTTGACTGGGAAGCCTTGGTGGTACTGGGCCGTGGTGCAGGTCCCAGAGGCTGGTGCCAGAGCCCATTCCCTCAGTCTTTGTGTTAATGGCAAGTTAAAGGTTCTCCAGCCAGTCTCATGAGCTTTTCATGAAGAAACGTAAGGAGATCGTCTAGCTCTAAGGAAGTAAGGACCAAAACACCTAGGGCTATGTATGTATTGCTTTGGCTAACACTTTGAAGTAGTCTTTAAGAAGCTTGATAGGATGCAGAGTTGCATCAAAGAAATGCTCACAGGGCCTTGAAGGGTAGCTCCTTGTATGTAGCCCATCTAGCTGCCACGTAGTTGGCATTGATAGCTGGGAGGACAGCGGCTTCCATCCTAGATGTAGGAGGCATAATTAAAAGGACAAAAAACTTTTTGCTGGTGGCCAAAAATGAACACATACCTTGTTCCACATTCTCCAAGCTCCACCAGCATCAGTTTTGTAACTCATTGAAGAGTATCCTCATTAGTTGTCTTCAGGCTCTCAAGTTTGTCAGACATTGCATTCATTCCATCAGCCCACATTTACAGTGCCTATGGTGTGCCAGTCCTTGGGGGGTGCAAGAACAAGTCTCACAGTTTAGGGGAGATGGACAAACATGAGTAAGTAAATATTGTGAGCATGAGCAGAAGTGTGTGCCATGCTGGATAAGAGCCGTCTTAGGCACAGTAGTGGAGGGTAATCTGCAAGGCTTGAACAAAACCAGTTGTCATCAGTGTGCTATAATACTACTGTGACCCAGTTGCTTTGGTGTTCTGAGGCTGCTCTGAGATGCTAATTAAACAGGATGATGATTCAGGTTGCTGTTATATCTCATAAGAAAGAGCCTTTCTGTGAATGAGCAGGCATCAGGCTTGGAGAAGGCTCCCTTAAAGCTTCCCTCAGATAAGGATTAAACAACGCTAGTTGACTCAGTCCTTGCAGTTTGCCACCTCAAGTCAGCGAGCCCTGCCTCTGAGACAGTGACAAAGTCTGGTGAAAGGTTCAAGCTCTGTATCTGGGCCACTTTCCGTTAAAACATGTCCCAAAACTAATAATACCTTTTATAATTTATTTCCCAAGTTTAGAGTATCAAAAAATGTGAGGTTCTTATTAGAGTTCTTTAAAAATAGTTTTTATTCCCTTCCATAATAAAAAATTTACTATTAAAAGATTTTGAAGTTTGGGCCATTCCTTATTTTTAAAATGTGTCTTAATTTAGAAATCATGCTTGGAGCCCCCAATGTGTCTCATTCTTCCTGGGGAGCAGTATTGTATGGACTTACCTCTGCTTGGAGTGAATGTAGTAACACTGTGGTCAAAAACAAAGGACATTTAGCTGTGCAGTGACTTTAATATATTATTTGTAGCATAGGAGGATGATAATGCAAATAGCTACTCCAGGTAAAAAGTATAGAATAAAAATTTAATTAGAAATTGTACTGGCCTGGGTATTGATTTTTGGGTAGAAGGGAAAACCTTACACATGGAAGATACTATAGATAAGTATTTATATTCTATCTTTGGCACCTGGCACCTAGAAAGTACTTTTCAAATGTTGGATAGTTGAGTGAATGAAGGGGGCTAACAGGCGTCATGGTATGGTATGAAGAAAGTTGAACTTGGGGTTCAGAAGAAAAAGAGGTAAAGTTCTAAGTTCTCTTACTAGCTATGTGATCTTTAGCAGGTCACTTTGCTTTAGCCTCTTGTTTCTTCTACAAGAAAAACAGATGTCGAAGACAGACCCAGAGTTCCTTCTTTATTGATCTCCTGATGTCACAATTTGCCTAGTGAAATTGTAGGTTTCACTAGGCAAATTGAGGGAGAAATCTGTTGCATTAAAGAACCTAAGGCCAGGTGCGGTGGCTGATGCCTGTAATCCCAGCACTTTGAGAGGCTGAGGTGGGCAGATCACCTGAGATCAGGAGTTCAAGACTAGCCTGGCCAACATGGTGAAACCTCATCTCTACTAAAAATACAAAGATTAGCTGGGCGTGGTGGCAGGTGCCTGTAATCCCATCTACTCGGGAGGCTGAGGCAGGGGAATCGCTTGAACCCGGGAGGTGGAGGTTGCGGTGAGCCGAGATCATGCCATTGCACTCCAGAGCGACAAGAGCGAAACTCCATCAAAAAAAAAAAAAAAGAACCTAAAAGGAAAATGAACAATCACTTGAGAGTCTTGGGAAATCCCCGTGTATTAGTTTTCTATCATTGTCATAACACCTTACCACAAACTTGTTAATACAGTTCTGCTTACAGTTCTGTAGGTTCAAAGTCCAACACAGGTGTCTTACTGGGCTGGAATTGAGGTGTGGGCTGGGCTTTGGAAAAGTCCAGAGTCTTAGGGGAGAACATGCTTCCTTGCCTTTTAAAAATTCTGCAGCTGCCGCCCTGTCCCTTCTCCCGTCTTCCAGGCCAGCAGCATTGCACCTATGACCCTGCTGGCAAATCATCAGGTCTCCCTGAAGCTGACAACTGTAACTCCCTCTGGGGGGGAATCGTTTGCTTTTATGGGCCTGTGTGATTAGATTGGGCCCACCTGGATAACCTAGCATATTCTTCCCATCTCAAGGTCCTTGACTTAATCTCATCCACAAAGTTGATTTTGTATATAAGATCACAGGTTCTTGGGATTCTGCCTACCATATCCCAAGATCTGATTGCTCTGTAGGAGACAGAACACTGAATGGCTCTCAGGAAACCAGTAATCCAGTAATCCTAGCTCACCCAGTCATTGTGTCTCTCTGGGTTTCTTTTTTCCGCATCTGAAAAGTTGGGGAGTTGAATTAGACCAGTGGTCCTCAAACTGCATTGTACATCAGAATAGCCTGGAGGACTTCTCACAACACAGATTTAGGTGGGGCTCAAAAGCGTGCATTTCTGCCAAGCACAGTGGCTCACGCCTGTAATCCCAGCACTTTGGGAAGCCAAGGCAGGTGGATCACTTGAGGTCAGAAGTTCAAGACCAGCCTGGCCAACATGTTGAAACCCCGTCTCTAGTAAAAAAACAAAAAGTTGCCAGGTGTGGTGGTTCATGCCTGTAATCCTAGCTACTTGGGAAGCTGAGGCACGAGAATCACTTGAACATGGGAGTCGGAGGTTGCAGTGAGCCAAGACTGTGCCACTGCACTCTAGCCTGGGTGACAGAACGAGACTCTGTCTCAAAAATAACCCAAAAAACAAAACTGCATTTCTGACAAGTCCCTGAGTGTTGCTGATGCTGCTGTTCCAGGGGACCACACTTCAAAAACCACTGAACTAAACTGTCTTTAAGGATCTTTCTCTAAGTCCCTAATACAGCCTGAGAGTCTTTCCCCTTTGGATGCAATGTTATAAATTAATCATAGTGGAGTTTGCACACTGCTTGCCAGGTTGTGGAGTTGAGGTAGGAAGCAAATGGACATTGTTCAGATCTAAGCTCCACGTCTTCTCTTTCCTCTTGTAAACCGGGATGGTGATGAGGCCTGCTGTGTGGTTGCTTTTCATGAGATGGTCTTTGTAGATTATCTAGCATATGTCTGACACATGGTCATCTTGGGTCACATTTACTTAGCACTTTTGACCCAGCCACTGTTTTAAGCCTGAATTAATTCATTTAACCCTTATGACATTTCTATGAGGTGAGTGCTATTATTAGTCCCACGTCTGTAGGTTGAGGAACAGAGGTTAGGAGTTTGGCCAAGAAGGCAGAGCTAGAAAGTGGAGCCACTTACCAGGCAGTTATTTAGGTTCCAGAGCATGCATACTTAACCCTTCTACAGCAGCACCCAAGTTTCCTGTAACAAGGCTAGAGGTGGCCTGGTCCTGGGTTTGGGTGATTTAGTGCTTGACAGTGTCATGGTAGGCCCAGGTCTCTCCATCTTGCCACTCTTCTGTCCTCAGCAGGCTGGCTTTGTCTTCAGGGCTGTCCCCTCATGGTGATACTGTGGCTGCCACAGATCCCACTGTCTAATCCTCACAGAGGCTGCGCAAGAAAAATTACCTGTTCCTCCCTCTTGTCTCTTTTTGAGAGGGTGAAACTTTCATGCTTGTAATCTTAGCACTTTTGGAGGCTGAGATGGGAGAATTGCTTGAGCCCAGGAGTTCAAGGACAGCCTGGGCAACATAGTGAGACCCTGTCTCTACAAAAACATTTTTTGAAAAAGCTGGATGTGGTAGCACACACCCTGTAGTCTCAGCTACTCGGGAGGCTGAGGTCAGGAGAATCACCTGAGCCTGGGAGGTAGAGACTGCAGTGAGCCATGATTGTGCCACTGCACTCCATCCTGGGTGACAGAGCAAGACATCGTCTCAAAATATATTAAAAAAAAAAAAAAAAAGGTTGGGGGGAGTGCAAAATGTTTTCAGAAGCCCTTTTTCCTGCAGACTTTCCTACCAGAAATGCTTGACCATACCCATTCCTAAATGGCCACCACTCACTGTGATTCATCCCCCAGGGTAGGGAGGGCCATATCTTCGGGCCTCTTGAGTAAGAAAGTGGCAGCAGGAGGCCAGATGCGATGAGGTCAGGAGTTTGAGACCAGCTTGGCCAATATGCAAAACCCCATCTCTACTAAAAATACAAAAATTAGCCTGGCGTGGTGGCATACGCCTGTAATCCCAGCTACTCAGGAGGCTGAGGCAGGAGAATGGCTTGAAACTGGGAGGCAGAGGTTGCAGTGAGCCAAGATTGCGCTACTGCACTCCAGCCTGGGCGACAAAGCAAGACTCCATCTCAAAAAAAGAAAGTGGCAGCAGACATGGCTGCAGGTTGGCCACCGATGGACTACCCACACTCCCTTCTCTGAAGTTGATAGTCCTTTTGATTCTGAGATGCTCTGTGGCACTGACAAAGGTCGACAGAGTCTAGGGCTACTAGAAATGCTGTGAACTTGTCCTTGGTTTACTCCAGACCAAATGATCTTTTCTCTCTTAACAAGGGTGCGAGGGCACATGATAAACATTTACTGATTATGGGCACCCAGAAGGACCTTGATCTTCTGAGAGCAGGGCAAAGCTTTTGAAGGACTAATCTCTTCCAGCCCTTGTTCCTACCTCTTTTGTCTCTGGAGGATGCCAGAGATGATCATCCAGAATCTCAGCTCTGACCTGGAACAAGTTATTTTCCCTTTGGTGTCTCAAGAGTTTCACGTGAAGCATTAGGAGTGCCTGCCAGGTGGAATAGTGCAGAGGGCTGGATGAGATCATTCAGTCTGAGCGTGGCGAGCGCTTGGGCTTTGCTGTTGCTGGCGTTAGTGTAGTTTTCCATCAGTATCTGTGTCGGGGGCCTGAGCCAGCTCAGTGTAATTGCTTAGGGAACACTTTTATTTTTCATAGAAGCAGGAACAAGTTTCTGTCTCTTCCAGCTAGTCTTGCTGGTTGTGTGCCTCTGCTATCTGAAGAGCCAGCATCCTTAGTAGGGTCACATGTGGTTGAGTTTTATGAATGTGTTTGTTGCTGATAGGACACATTTCTTACCTGACAGGATGAGCACTCACAGCAGCCACATCACAGGGCTGACAGAGATGTGCCCCACTTTAAGAAAACCTGACCATATAAGGAGGAGTGTCTCAATTACAAAATAATGTCTCACTTAGCCAGAAATTCATGGCAGGTTTTCTGGTGCATTTAAAATAAGATTCATGTATAAAAATACCATTTGCACACAGGAGCCCATATTTTCTGAAAAGGGAAATGTATTGGGCATTTGGGGTAAGTAGATCAAAAATAAAAATAAAATCTTCTTACAAATACAAGAACTAGAAACCAAATTCCACTTCTAATTCTAAAAGGTTTATATATAACTCTACTACCTTACCCTCTCTTACCCCAGATTTTCACAGCAGAAGTAAACAGGGAAGATCTGCAGGCCGCTCACGATAGCAGCAAGGAAATGCCTGGCATAGTGTGTGGGTGGGTGGATGGCGGGGGTACCAGAGGCAGGGCTGGGGACCCCACTCTGGCATGTCCTTTATGACATGGATTGCTCATCTCACCCTGCTGTATTGTTGATTTGAGAACATTTGTGAGGCTTGGTCTAAAACATTATTGCTGGATCCCTTCCCATGGTGTGGTCAGTGAATGGCATTTAGAAATTGACCAGCTCATCCTGCCACCACGGACTCCTCTAACCACAGAGACACGTGCTGAGGTCTAACAGATGGGGACCAGGGAAGGCCTGGAGGAGAGGGCCAAATCTGGGATACTGACATGCCTGACTTTTCCCTTCCTTTCAGAAATGTTCCCACTGCCAGGAGGCAGGCGCCACCTTGGGCTGCTACAACAAAGGCTGCTCCTTCCGATACCATTACCCGTGTGCCATTGATGCAGGTAAGAGGAGACCACAGACCCTTGTCCAGAGCATCCAAAGGATTAGGACATACAGTTTGATTCTCTCTGTTGTCGTTGTTTTTTTTCTTTTCTTTTCTTTTTTTTTTTTTTTTTTTTGTCACTTCATAAAAAAACTTCCCACCCATTAGCAGCACTCATCTCCCTTCCCTTCCCTCCAGTCCCTGGCAACCACTATTCTGTTTTCTTTTTTAAATTTTTATGATTTTTTTTTCCCTTTAAGCTCTGTTGGACTCAATCCTTTCTATCTCTGTGGGCTTTGCTGTACATTTGGGTTACTTCCACTTTTTGACTGTTATGAATAATGCTGCTATAGAACATTCACATGCAAGCATTTGTGTGAACATGTTTTCAGTTCTCTTGGATGTGTACCTGGGAGTAGAATTGCTGGATCATATGGTAACTCTGTTTAACCTTTTAAGGAACTGTCAGACTGTTTTCCAAAATGGCTGCCCCATTTTACGTTCTCAGTGGCAGTGCATGAGTGTTCTCCTTTCCCCAGGTCCTCCCTGACACTTGCTGTCATATGTGTTTCTTTTTTTTTTTTTTTTTAATTGTAGCCAGCCCAGTGGGTATGAAATGTTATTTCATTGTGGTTTTTATTTGTATTTCCCTGATGGCTAATGTCGAGCATTTTTTTCTTGTGCCTATTGGCCATTTGTACATCTTCTTTGGAGAAATAGCTATTCACATCCTTTGCCCATTGTAAAATTGGGTTGTTTATCTTTTTAATGTCAAGTTTTAAGAATTATTTGTAGGCCGGGCAGGTGGATCATGGGGTCAGGAGTTCAAGACCAGCCTGGCTAAAATAGTGAAACCCCGTCTCTACTAAAACTACAAAAATTAGCCAGATGTGACGCGCACCTATAGTCCCAGCTACTCGGGAGTCTGAGGCAGGAGAATCACTTGAACCCGGGAGGCAGAGGTTGCGAGATCACGCCACTGCACTCCAGCCTGGGCAACAGAGTGAGACTCTGTCTCAAAAAAAAAAAAAAAAAAAAAAGAATTATTTGTAATTCTGGATATGTGGTTTGCAAATGTTTTCTTCCATTCTCTGAGTTGTCTTTTTACTTTCTTTTCTTGATAGCATCACACAGGTAATTCACCATTGGACACCAACTGGGTGTCCTATAGTTTAGCTTGGTTCTGATACTAAGCAGAGTTAGTGCAGCCCCTACAGGTTAAGGGCTCAGTCCCACAAGACCGCTCCCCACTTCATATACCAATCTCAAGCCCTGTGTTATGACCTGTGTTTCTGAGTGATCAACTATAAACTGGGGTTCCCAAGACCGCTTCCTTGGGTTTGATTAATGTTTAACATGGCTCACAGAATTCACGGAAACACTTCACTTGTGTTTACCCATTATAAAGGATGCAGATGAACAGCCACATGAAAGAAACATAGGGCCAGATGTGTGGGCAGGGGCATGGAGCGTCCATGCTCTCTCCAGGGGCACCACCCCTGAGGCACCTTCATCTACTCAGCAGTCCAGAAGCCCTCTGAATCCAGTAGTTCACGGATTTTTTGGAGGCTTCATCATGTAGGCATAATCAATTATTAACTCAATCTTCACCCCCTCTGTCCTTCCTGGAGTGGGGTGGGTAGAGCTAACAGTTCCAAGCTGCTAATCACAGCTTCGTCTCTCTGGTGCCCAGCCCCCATCCAGGAACCACCAAGAGTAGCCTTAGAACAAAAAGTGCTCCTATCCAGGAAATTCCAAGGGTTTAGGAGCTCCATGTCAGGAACCAGGATCAAAAACCAAATATTAGAAGAAAAGATGCTCCTAGCACCCCTAATTGCTCAGGAATTTACACGGGTTTTAGGAGGTCTGTGCCAGGAATCAGGGATGAAGACTAAAATATGTATTTCTTACTCTAAATCACAGTACGTTGTATACATACAATAGAGTGTTGTATTTTCTTTGCTGAGATGATAGGGGGATGTTTTGCAGTGTGTTAACTGTTGAAAGAAGGGAAACATTTTGTTAAAGAAGTGCCATCCAATGAGTGACGCAGAAGACTTGAGTTTTGACTCAGAGCTTCGATAACCTGGGAAAATCACCTTTCTTACTCTAGACTTTTAGTCCCTTCAGTGGGTGTTTTCCCCAGTTACTTTTTTGGCGGCAAGGTGGGTGTTAATTTCAAGTTTATTAAGTTTTTTACTTTTCTTTTTGAGACGAAGTTTCGCTCTTATCGCCCAGGCTAAAGTACAATGGCATGATCTCAGCCCACTGCAACCTCTGCCTCCCAGATTCAAGTGATTCTCCTGCCACAGCCTCCCGAGTAGCTGGGACTACAGGCGCCCACCACCATGCCCGGCTAATTTTTGTATTTTTAGTAGAGACGGGGTTTTGCCATGTTGGCCAGGCTGGTTTCAAACTCCCGACCTCAGGTGATCCACCCACCTCAGCCTCCCAAAGTGCTGGGATTACAGACGTGAGCCACCGCGCCCAGCGTTTTTTACTTTTTTTAATGGACAGTAATTGTAGATATGGGGTGCTCAGTAATGTTTCAATATATATATAAAATGATCAGACCTAGGTAATTAGCAAATCCATCGTCTCAAACAACATGTCTGTGTTGGGAACATTTGGTATCTTCTAGTCATTTGAAACTATACAATATAATGTTGTTAACTGTGGTTATCCTACAGTGATACAGAATACTAGAACTTATTTCTCCCATCTAGATGTAATTTTGTATTCTTTAACAAATCTCTACTTATCTCTTCCTTTCCTTTCCCCTTCCTGGCCTCTAGTATCCTCTGTTCTACTTTTTAATACTTCCGTAAGATCAGCTTTTTAAATTTCCACATGAGCGAGAACATGCAGCTTTTAACTTTCCGTGCCTGGCTTATTTCACTTGACATAATGTCCTCTAGTTACTTGAGCATTAGATGTATCTAAGACCATCACCCAGGCAGCCCCCATAATGCCTGTGGTCACGTTTGAGGAAAAGTGGTGAGAGAAGGCAGCAAGTAGCATGGTGCTTGTCATGTGCATGCCCCCTCTCTGTGCTTCCCCAGGAGAGAAGCAGGGCTGTCCACGGAGGCAGCCACGCTGTCCATAGGAGGCGGGGTTTGATTTGAATTTGATGGGAAGGGGAAGAGGGCGTGGCTGACTGCATGATGGGAACAGGCGTGAGGCATAACATACACAGAGCAGGGCCAACAGACTTGGATCAGGTCTCAGAATTCATCCTGCCCCCCCCTTCCTTCCAGCGCAGCAGTTGCTTGCAGCTCCTGACTTTTGTTTAAGCATATGTCTCCATTCCTTTCACATCCTTCTTGCCCTTACCTCCCCCTTCCCTCTTTTCTCTCCAAGCTTCTGTAGGAGAAACAGTTAAAAAGAACAAGAGAGGTAGAGAAGATAATGCTGATGCCAGTTAGACTATTACAAAAGTGTGTGTATTCACACGTACATGTGGACTGAAAGGCAGCTTGATGGCCAAGGCACTATTTGATCAACGGAAAGATAGGGAATCAGAAACAGAGTGCCAGGTGTGGTGGCTCACACCTGTAATCCCAGCACTTTCGGAGGCTGAGGTGGGAGGATTGCTTGAGCCCAGGAGTTCGAGACCAGCCTGGCCAACATGGTGAAACCCTGTCTCTACAAAAAATACAAAAAATTAGCCAGGCGTGGTGGCCCTTGTCTGTAGTCCCAGCTACCCAGGGAGGCTGAGATGGAAGGACCCAGGAGGGGCTGCATGACCCTCAGTTGGGCCACTGCACTCCAGCCTGGGCAACAGAGTGAGACCCTATCTCAAAACAAAAATGAAGTAGCCTTGAAATGTCAGTTCAGGGAGTTTGGGTTTTAGTCCATCCCTTCTGTTCTCTTTTTTCCTCCAAATGTTTTCATGTTGAGTCTAAGGTGTAATTTACCCTGGGTCATGGTCTGCCATATTCTGTAGTACAGCTGTTAAATCCTTCTCTTTCAAGAGCTAACCAGTTGGGCCAGGCACGGTGGCTCACACCTGTAATCCCATCACTTTGGGAGGCCGAAGTGGGCGGATCACAAGGTCAGGAGATTGAGACCAGCCTGGCCAACATGGTGAAACCCTGTCACTACTAAAATATGAAAAATTAGCCAGGTGTGGTGGCGCGTGCCTGTAGTCCCAGCTACTTGGGAGGCTGAGGTAGGGGAATCGCTTGAACCCGGGAGGTGGAGGTTGCAGTGAGCTGAGATCACGCCACTGCACTCCAGCCTGGCAACAGAGCGAGACTCTGTCTCAAAAGAAAAAGAAAGAGAGCTAACCAGTTAACTAGGTATGGTGGTTCACACCTGTAATCTCAGGTACTCGGGAGGCTGAGGCTAGAGGATCACTTGAGGCCAGGAGTTCAAGTTCAGCCTGGATAACATAGCAAGAACAGGTCTGTTCAAATAAAAATAAGTTTTTAAAAGAGCCAACCAGTTGCCTTTTCTCATTTTCATTACCTCTAGTTACATCGTAATATTGTGTTTTCTTCCCTGTAGTCTAGTGGCCAGGAAAGAGGGGGAGCAGTAATATAAAGTTTTGTTTCTAGTTGAAAAAAATGGCTTTTTTTTTTTGTTTTTTGAGACAGAGTCTCGCTGTGTTGCCCCGACTGGAGTGCAGTGGCGCGATCTCGGCTCACTGCAAGCTCCGCCTCCCGGGTTCACGCCATTCTCCTGCCTCAGCCGCCCCAGCAGCTGGGACTACAGGCGCCCGCCGCCACGCCCGGCTAATTTTTTCTGTTTTTAGTAGAGACGGGGTTTCACCGTGTTAGCCGGGATGGTCTCGATCTCCTGACCTTGTGATCTGCCCACCTTGGCCCCCCAAAGTGCTGGGATTACAGGCGTGAGCCACCGCGCCTGGCCAAGAAAATGGCTTTTAAGTGAAAAAAAAAAAAATTTTTTTTGAGACAGGGTCTCACTGTGTTGCCCAGGCTGGACTCAAACTCTTAGGCTCAAGCGATCCTCCCAACTAGCTGGGAATACAGGCATGTACCATTATGCCCAGCTATATATGAGGATTTTTAAGTATTAAGTTTTTTTATGGTTGATTGTTAGTTTTATATTGGGAATACTGTGAGTTTTGGCTCTCCCAGTTCGCAGCTGGGTAAGAAGTGGTCCCCCACTGAGGCTGTGTTCAGGGACACATTAGGGTGTGCTGACAGGCCGGTGCCACATCCCACCCGAGCACACTTCAGCAAGGGCCCCCCTGGAGGCTGCCCCCGTTCTGCTGATAGCCTGCCTTCTGGTCCAGCTTCTAAGATGTCAAGCAGCAAAGCTCAGCCTAACATACTGCAATGATGGAAACGCTCTAGCTCAGCACTCTCCAATGTGGTAACCACAAACCAGATGTGATCATTGAGTGCTAGTGGGACTGAGGAAATGAATTTTTTTTTTTAATGTAAACTTAAGTGGCCATGTATGGCTAGTGGCTGAACAGCACAGGCTTAGAGCTACCCTCCTCAACCCAAGTTCAGGCAATATGGTTGGGATTTTTTGGAAGGGGCCATAGAGCACTGGAACATCCTCTCCTCTAGTGGAAGCTTGTGCCCAGGTTGTCACCCCAGCCCACCAGCAGAGAAGCGCAGGACCCTCATTATTAGCTGAGGACTTGTGAGTAAATGGTGTCTGTCATTTTCTGTTTTGGGGCCCATCTTGGTAGCCTGCCTAGTTAAGCTGGTAGCATCTCTATTTAACAGAAGTTGGTGGCCGCGTGTCCAGCAAGACAGAGGGGTCTGGGTTGGGAGGAGTGAGGGTAGGGCTGTCGGCCTCTGGCTTTGCTGCCTCTGCTGCTGTGCACTTTGCTCCTTCATGTGGAGACCTGGGACCCAGAGGCAGTTTCACAAGATGACCATGTCTTGGTCATTGCGGTCTTTTTGATGACCCAAGTCACAGTGACCCAGAGGCCTGCACTGCTCTGTGGGGATGGACGCTTGTATTATTCCACACAGTCTTCTTGGAAATTGCTCTCTGTGTATGATGTAACTTTGTATCCAGGAAACAAGTTTATTGATGGACTTTTCTTTCTAATCATAACAAAAATAAGTCCTTGGTTTGAGAATCCCTAACCTCCCTTATGGAGTAAAGAGCAGTTTAACATTTTCATCTCTGCCTTGCTGTCAACCCACCCAGATCTTTAAAGAGCTGTTGATGTCTCAGGGAAGACTTTTATTACTGGGACATCTCCATAGAAACAGAATCTTTGTTTCATGATCTGTGACTCCTGCCACCTTCCCCCCCACCTGATGTTGACCCTGCATTTCTGACATCATGGTCAGCTGTTTTGTGTTGCTTGTTATGTCATAGGCACAGGATTTGGCTCCAGGTGGGGGGGGTTACAGTAATAAGAGCATGAGCTCTGTTTTTTTTTTTTTTTAATTAATGTATTTAATGCAATGAGCCACAACAATTAAGACGAGAAAAAAAGGCTGTGGTAGCTCATTAATAATTCCACTGTGCGTAAAGAACCTTGTGTGGAGGGTTTTTTTTTTTTCTTCTACTCTCATGAAAAAACAGCTGGGAATTCTACTTTCTGCAGCTCTCGTTGCAGTAGCATTTTAAAGCTGCTATCTCTGCTGCAGACTTTGATCTTGCTGGTGCCATCAGAGCCCTGGATGGGTCATTAGGAAATGCCAGTAGTCTGACTCCTCCCCGGGGGACAGCCGTCTGCCTCACAGGAGCCAGTCCCAGTGCCAAGAGCCCCATATTTCCCTCCTTATGGCCCAGGAGCCTGAGCCTACCCTTCGGCAAGGCAGGGTGGGGCTGGCAGGCCCCTGTGTCCCAAGCCCTGCAGTGTGCCAACATAAGGAATAACAGTAGTACTGGGGTAGAGTGTAGGTGAATTGGAGTCTGTGTCTGCTACACAACAGATCCAAAGGACATTAAACCCTTCTTGTTTTTCCTACCTCCCTCCTTGAGCCCACCATCCTCAGCCTGGGAGCATGTGGATGCATGTGGGTATCTGAAGCTTCACAGAGCTTATAATGAGGAGCTTAGTAAATCCATTCTGCCTTTGAGCTTGAAGAGGGAAATGAAAGTGGCCTTCTCTTCTGGGGGTTGATGTTTGTGTCTGCAAGCCATCTTGTTGACTAGGCCACCTTGTAGGTCTTTTTGAGCTTGGATGATGATCTCGCAAGCTGTTTACTTTGACTTCACTATGCAGAAGTGCTGACTGCGCCCTCTGGACAGTGTAGGATGGTGCCTGGGCCTTGAAGAACACAGATTGAGAGACCTTGACTGGCTGGCCATGTAGGTGCAGTTGCCTGTTCAGAGTCCTCAGAAGAGGTTTTACTACACCTACTGCTCTTCACTCTTCCCTCCCAGCAGGGACTGGTAAGAGGAGAAGCTCCCCTGTGCCCTCCAGGTTTCTGAGCTCTCTAGCTGTGGTTCTGGCCCCTGCCAGGAACGTGAATTGTGCTTCCTGACGGCCTGTGGACATGTATGAGAACAGAGGAGGGCATTGTCTGCACAGTGTTCCTGCATGGGAGGCCTTGTCAGAGATGGACACTGCCTCAGGCAGATTGCTGTAGGAGACTTCATTTCCAGATGTATCTGGCATTAGTTTCAAGTTGTCGTTAGCGTGCATTCATAGTGTCTTACTCTTTTCTGCTTCTAACTCAGAGGGAACGCATTTCCTAACATGAGGCGTGTTTTATTAATGGTCCATCACAGCTGGTCACTGTTCTGTGGCCGTGAGGGAACTGAGCCACCTGCGCCTTTCTGATGGCACCCTTTGCTGCTCGTGTGGTCCCTGTCCTCACTGGTATAAACCCCTGTGGCGTAAGCGTGGCCCAGCCCCACGTGTGCTGTACTGTTTCTGTTTGGCCCAAACTAGAGACTAAGCCAGCATAGTGCTTGCTGCCAGAGCCCAGGTAAGAAGAGAGCATATCCCCTGAGCTCCAGTTGTCTGGCTCCTGCTGTTTATAAACTCTCTGGCAGATTGGAGCAGCGGGAGTCTTGGTCACACTATGTACTTGTGGGTTTTAAATTAACACATTTCATTTATTGCCTTGCTAGTTGCTTGCTGGGGGAGGGGCTTGGAGGTTAGTAGTAAGTTGCTGAGCTCTTGGGCCCACGGAGCCAAGAAGGCTGCCGCCCACTCTCTTAGATACTCATGGGCTCCAACGAAAGACAGGCTATGATGTTCCAGGTCTGGCCAAATATAAAAGGGTCTTTTTGATTTGTTTTAGGATACCGGGACCTGAAAAGTTTTCATGTGTATGTTCATTGCTTATTACTATTGCACTTGAAATCTGTGGGTGCACAGGCTGCTAGTCTGGATCTCAGTTTAAATTTAACAAGGATAAGTACCGTGGCTGCCTCCTGCCATGGTGCCTGGGAGCTCTCTGAGAATGTGTTATCAATATTTATTAACATTCTGCCACCGCGTTTTGCACCAGTGACCTGGCTGTCGGTCTCCAGGAGCTGTGGTGTGCAGAGTGAACTCATTAATTAGATTTCCTTGCCCTGATCCATGCACTACCCTTGTGTGAGAGCTCAGCTCACCTGGAGGCAGATGTGTCCTTGCTGCCATCCAGGATGCTGTCATCATGTTACAAGTTGGAATGAATCATTTTTCCTCCAAGGATTAAAAGCATCCTCATGGGATTTTACCTTCCTCTGAAGCATTTAGTGTGGATTATGTGATTTGTGTTGGAGGCTTCTGTGTCTCCGTGGGTCGTGGGGCAAAGGTGACAGTGGGGCTCTTGGGCCTGGCCACCTTTCTGTCTCAGACACCTGGGCATTCTCTGTACAGAGAAGAAAATACGCGTCTAGATTTTAAAGTGTTTTTACAAGGAGGCTTTGGCTTGAGCCTGAGAAATGGGGTTAGCCTAGAATCAAGGATTTTTAAAATAGCATTTATTGGTGATATCGTGGGAATATAGAAAAGATAAAATTTAAATCAGCTGTATCTTCTTACCCAAAGAGAATTATTGTTACATATTCATAGATTTCCTTTCAGTCTTTTTTTTTTTTTTTTTTTTGAGACGGAGTCTCGCTCTGTCACCAGGCTGGAGTGCAGTGGTGTGATCTCGGCTCACTGCAACCTCCGACTCTCTGGTTCAAGTGATTCTCCTGCCTCAGCCTCCCAAGTAGTTTTTTTTTTTTTTAAGACAGTTTTGCTTGCCTAGGCTATAGTGCAGTGATGTGATAGTAGCTTACTGCAGTCTGAACTCCTGGGCTCAAGCAGTCTTCTCACCTCAGCCTCCCAAGTAGCTGGGACTATAGGCAAGTGCCATCACACCCAGCCTTTCAGTATTTTTTTTTTTTTTTTTAATAGTGACAGGATCTCACTGTGTTGCGCAAGCTGGTCTTGACTCTTGGATTCAAGTGATCTTTCTGCCTCGGCCTCCCAAAGTGCTGGGATTACAGGTGTGAGCCATGGTACCCAGCCCCAAGTCTTTTTTTAATGCGTAGAAACATTTTAATAAAATTAGCACATTTATACATTTGTACATCCTGGTTTTTTCAAGCAGTTTTGTTTCATGGGTGTTTTCCATACCATTAACTCTTTTCAAATGTTAATTTTTAAGTGACCGATATCCATCATGTTAAGGTATCATAGCTTACTTGGGTTGTCTCTAATGTTTTCCTATTAGAAGTAAGTGTAGCGACCTGCTACCTTTATGTCTGACCCTGTCAATCCCAGCCAGCATGACCACACCTATGTCCAGCTGTGAAGTCTCCATCTGACTGTCCCCTTCTGTCTTCCAGATTGTTTGCTACATGAGGAGAACTTCTCGGTGAGGTGCCCTAAGCACAAGGTGAGTCAGAGGCCCCAAGAGCTACCAGCAGGGATGGGATCGAGGGTGGCTCCTCCTGAAAGACCTGAAGACCAGGTGTTGGTGGGCCTCACCCACACCTGTCCCCACCTGTGCCTCCGGCTGTTAGTCCCCTCCTGGCCCTGGGAGGGTGGAGGGGCATGATGCTGAAGGGAGACCCGTGGCATGGGGGCCAGCACTCGGAGTATTATGAGGATCCCAGGAGAAATGTGTTTTGGGAGAGGGGGTGTTTGTCTGTTCATTAAGAGAGGTGAGAATATCTAACTCGATCAAGCCACTGATTTCCACTTGAGGTGAATAGAACCCCAATTCACAGGTTGGCGTTTGGTAAGTCTGGTTCTAGGCCTTGAGGCCTGTGCAAAGGCATCTTCCCAGACTAGAAGTCGAGCTGACCACAAGGCTCTGGGGAAGCTCAGTCTCTTCCAGGTTGTGCTTCTGCAGAAGCAGCCTGATGCACAGTGGATGGGCTGTCTCGGGCTCCACTTCCCAGTTTATTTAGGAGGTGGTCTCGTGGTCGCTTCCTTTAGAAAGGGTGGGAGGTAAGGGGTGAATGGTCTGTTTGTGGATACCACATATGTGTGTGGGGAGGGTGTATATGGAGAAGGAGCCCCAAGAAAGGATCAGAACGGAGACCACTGCCACCTGATGTTTCCTGCAGGGGCTGCACTGTGTCTCTGGCTGAGGTCACACTGACACCTGGTGGTCACTGGTCACTCGCAGTCTTAAATCTAGTAGGGCCGAAAGTACTAGAAGGAGGTTGTCCAGAGAGGTCTGCCCTCAAAATGCTCCTGAAAGATGCTTGCTTATGCTTTTCTTTAAAAATTATTTCTGGGGAAGGGCGGGGAGTGGTCACAGGATCTTATATTCTCTTTATTTTTACTTAATTTGCATGTTATTTTTAGAACTCCCCTTTTTAAGGGTCACATTTTGCCTCAGAAAACCCTGTCTGAATGTCTCCTGTTTGTCGGTCAGGACTGACTCTGCCTTTTCTTTCCTTTTCCATGTGCCACTCCTGTCCTCCCTTTGCCCTCCCTGATTTCTGCACTGTCCTCTCCCACCTGTCTGTCTCCTCTTGGTTTTGCCCGTGTCAGCCTCCCCTTCCGTGCCCTCTCCCCCCCTTGCAGAACAAGACCGCGAAAGGCAGCCTCAGCACAGAGCAGTCGGAGCGGGGGTGAGGGGGGCAGTGTGCTCGTGGGAATGGAAAGGACAGCAAGCACAGGTGAGTCGGGGCCACCGGGCTCCCTGCATCCTGCCCGGCTCCCAGCAGGCGTCGTTGCCTCTGCCCTCCTGCTCGCTCTATGCTCTGCCACCAGCATTTCATCCTGTGGATGACAACGCCAGGTGGATGCAGTGTTCTTCCATTGGTTACTTAGCTCCCCAGATTATCTGTGGAAAGGAGTGGGGGCTTCTAAACTGTCCACTGCCAATGGGGTGCAGGGTGACTGTTCCTGAAGGCAGCCCTTCAGGGCACAGCTGGCCAGGGGTGGCCTTGTGAGTGGACACAACAGGCTTTTAGGTCTCTTTCTTGGGCAGGGCATCTCTTGCCAGTAGCCCCTGCTCTTTCCCCCGTCTCAGAAAGGGTTCCAGTCAAAGGTCTCTTCTTTTTAATTTACTACATTTCTGTAAAGCTTATGGTGTGTTTTCCTTTGAAAACAACAGAACTCTTGGGTTTTGTTATTAGAAATCTTTTTTTTCCAGTATTATGAAGGATTCCTTTTTGCAGAAGTACAAAGGAAAGAAAAATCCTCAAAGATTTAGTAGACTCTAGCATCTGATTTAATTTTACTCTTAAAAATCTCGAGGCTGGGCATGGTGGCTCATACCTGTAATGCCAGCACTTTGGGAGGCTGAGGCAGAAGGATCGCCTAAGCCCAGGAGTTCAAGACCAGCCTGGGCAACAGTGAGACCCTGTGTCTACATTAAAAAAAAAAAAAAAAATTAGCCGTGCGTGGTGGTACATGCCTTTAGTCCCATCTACTCAGGAGGCTGAGCTGGGAGGATCACTTGATCAAACCTGGAGGTTGAGGCTGCAGTGAGCCATGATCGTGCCGCTACATTCCAGCCTGGGCCACAGTGAGACCCTGTCTCAAAAAAAGAAAAAAAATTCTTGTGATTGAGTTGTGCTTGCTGTGAGTTTGTGTGGGATTATTGTGGTCACGGCCCTCTTGGCAGGCATCTGTGAAAACAGGATGATAGGACTTGGGGTCTCTAGAAGCTGCAGGCCTCTGAGCTCCATGCTGCTCCTTCACCCTCCCTGCGTCACTGAGGCATGAAGGGAAATAGGTTGTAAAGAAAAGAAAAACCAAAATGTACCTTGTGGCACTTGCTGCTACAGGATGGGGCAGGAGGACTAGTTGTCTCAGAAATATTCATTGAGGGGTCATTTCTCTCAAATGGGAGGACTTCTGTGTCGACCTCAGGAGTTTGACTCACACAGCTACGCTAGACGTGTCCCTTCCGGCACCACCATGTGCCTGACCACCTTCTGGAACGTGCCCTCCTCCTTGTTACCACTACTAATTTCCGGAGAAGGCCCCTCGGCTGCCACGCCATTTGAGAAGTCAAGTGGGGGCTGCTGAGTGCCTTCTTGATAGAGCGTTGAGTGTGGTGCCTTTCTCTTTCCTCTTCCGGGGAGTAGGGCTGGCAGTGAAGGGATCAGAGCAAAGTGGGGAGGTGGGTGGAAGCCATTCCATGTGTTCCTGGGTCAGAGGAACCAGATGAGCAAATGAAGCCTCTTGGACTTGGAGTACATTGCCACCATCAGCGAGTGGCTGCTGGTTTTCCAGAACCTGCTGGGCAGCACTGCCTGCTCCTTTTCCTGGGATTAGCCCTTAGGACAAGGCAGCCATTGCATTGCGTGGTTTTGAAAGGACTGTTTCTGTTGGCCCTCCTGCATGTCCCTACGCTCCTGAGGGTGTCACTGTGCCTTCCCATTGTCACCCCTGTGCCAGCACAGGCCAAGATGGTTAGAGTCAAGTTCTGTAGGGGACCACGATGCGTATTCCTGGAATGTGTCCTAGAAGACCTGGTTAAGGAAAGAGCTTAAGTGTTTTTTGTTTTTGTCCTGGAATTGCATCTGTGTTTGAGAAAAAGAAAGTTCAGGCCCTGGGCCTGGTGGACAAATCTCCTGGGGATTTTGTTCATCTGTTCCTCTCTAGTCATTCTTGGGCCTTCCTTCCTAGCTGTCAGGGCCCTTGACTCTTTTTTTTTTTTTTTTTGGAGACGGATTCTCACTTTGTCGCCCAGGCTGGAGTACAGGGGCACGATCTCGGCTCACTGCAACCTCCATCTCTGGGGTTCAGGCGATTCTCCCGCCTCAGCCCTCCCGAGTAGCTGGGACTACAGGTGTGCACCACCACGCCCAGCTAATTTTTGTATTTTTTGTAGAGATGGGGTTTCACCATGTTGCCCAGGCTGGCCTTGAACTCCTGACATCAAGTGATCTTCCCGCCTTGACCTCTCAAAGTGCCGGGATTACAGGCGTGAGCCACGGCGCCCGGCCAACTCTTGAACAGAACAATGAGCTTCATCCTTCTGGGTTGAAGCACAGTGATGAAGTGGCCTCACCCATTGAAGAGAGTCGTCTCAGGTCCATTGAGGTTGAACCATTCCATTCAGCTCTTGGAGGGAGAGGATGGACTCACTGCATCCAGTCCTGTCCATCTGAAATGTTTTTTATGTGCTGTTCCCACAAGGCATATAGCTTTTCCTGGTTTCCCAGTTCAGCAGTGACATTGAGGGTGGTCACCGTCCTTCATTTGTGGTAGAAGCCCTGGTGACTGGGGATAGAATCACACCTCTGACTAAAGGAGGACTCATCTTGGGCCCCATGCTGGGGACAGAGAGCCACCATTATTGGGTGCCCTGACAAGGCAGGGAACAGACAGCGAATGTGCGTGTGTGTCTGCCTCCTAGTGCGCCATGTTCTGACAGAGTGATATGATAGGTGCTGTGTGACTAAGATCAGACTACTCCATGTCTCTGTACTTCGGTTTCTTCTGTAAAAACAGGAATAGCAGTGCCAACCTTTTGAGATTCCATTGGGAAATGTCTCTAAGTGCCAGCACAGCACACTGGCTCTCAGCCCGTTGATCTGCCATGCCTAGCTGTGGGTTTCTCTTGGGAGTTGGAGGGGTCAAGGCAGCAGATTGGACCCTGCAGCTGTCTCTTATAGCAAAAAATACCCAAGGCTTGGGGTTAAAAGATGCCGCCCCTGCCTCCCAGCCTGTGAGGTATCTGGTACCTGACCCTCGCCAGGAGTGCGGAGGGGAAAAGTCCTTCTGCAGGCCCGTGGTTGCCCACTGTCTCTTTGTGCCAAGGGGGTTGCCTTGCTGGCTTGTGTCATTGGTTGGCAGGGCTTTTGACAGTGGAGTCCCTATACCCAGCTCTTCCTCCTGTCGTGAATTAAACAAGGAGGCCCCAGCTTGCCCTAACAGGCCCTGTGGTCCAGCACATGGGAAGCATAACCTTGATCAGGGCTAATGCTGCATCCTGGATGCTATGTACCCTGCACAGAACAGCCATGGATGGACGCTGAGCAAGGCAGGGAACGGGGCGTGGCCCCCCTGCCCCTGGAGCTGGACATCACACAGTCCATTTGTGTGTATGCATGAATGTCACATTCTAGAGTTCCCCTTTCCCCAAACTGGTCCAGAGGCAGTCCAGGGTTACACCTCCAGAGGAGAGCCTGAGTCTGTCCACTTTCCTTCCCCACCAGCCCCAGCCCAGGCATTGTGGCTGCTATAGTGCCCGCCTCCCTGCCACTGCTCAGCAGCCAAGTGCAATCTTCATTAGGCCTCCCTCCAGTCCTGTCCCTTCTCTACGTCAGAGATTCTTGTCATCTTCCACACAAAGCCCAGACATCTCACCTTGCCTTCCAGAGCCCTATGGAAGTCTCAGGTGACTCTCCAGGCCCCTGGCTGCCTCCAGCTCCTCAGGGACCAGGCTTCCTTCCTCTGGGCTTCTGCACACACAGTTCCTTGTGCTGGAAACACTTTGGCTCCCCATCTTCATGTTGAAAACAGGCTCCCATCTCCTGGGTCTCAGCTTAAATCCTACTTCCTCAGAGAAGCCTTTCCCTTTCTAAATCCTTGTCTCCATTGCCCCCCTCCTCGCTTGCAGCCATCCTAGCATCACCACAATTTCAGATCATTTACTTGTTTACTACCTGTCTCTCCACTAGACTGTAAGCTCCATTAGGGCAGGGACCACGTCTGTCTTTGCACCATCAAAGCCTAGCCCAGAGCGGGGCATGTAACTATGCTAGTGCCAAGTGAGTCTGTGTTAAAGAAATGAGTGCATCCCAGGCCGGGCACAGTGGCTAACGCCTATAATCCCAGCACTTTGGGAGGCGGGCAGATCACGAGGTCAGGAGATCGAGACCATCCTGGCTAACAATACAAAAATACAAAAAATTAAAACACTAAAATACTAAAAATACAAAAAATTAGCCGGGCGTGGTGGTGGGCGCCTGTAGTCCCAGCTACTCGGGAGACTGAGGCAGGAGAATGGCATGAACCCGGGACGTGGAGCTTGCAGTGAGCTGAGATCGTGCCACTGCACTCCAGCCTGGACGACAGAGTGAGACTCCATCTCAAAAAAAAAAAAAAAAAAGAAAGAAATGAGTGCATCCCAGGGAAAAAAGGGCTCTTGGACCCTGACCATCGGTGCCCTTAATCAGTATAGATTCAGAATTAGGTTTCCCTTCATATCCTCCCTCTCTAGTCGGAATTAGTGTCTGTTTTAGAAATGAGGAAATGGGCTCTGGGCGAATCCTGGCCAGGGTGAGTGGTGTTGAGATGATGAGTTTTTGCTGCAGTTGGGAAAGGCAGGCTTGGAGTCTGATGTGGAAGGACGCGAGGATGGCGTCCCGGGTTCAGGCCACGGATGAGGCCAAAGGGGAGCAGAAAGGACAGTGTGAGCGAGAAGGGAAGGGAGGGAACAAGTGAGGGAGCCTGGGAAGGTGTTGGCCCAAGACGAAACCCTGGATGCTGGCAGCTGGGGAGCAAGGTGATGTTCTTTAAAAGAGAATTCACAGTCTTCAGCACAGGGGCGGCAGGTCGCTCCTGCTGCTCAGGCTGGCTGGCACCAGGGCTGCTCCCAGGCTCACTGTCGGGGACCCAGCCGTCTCTCAGCCACACCCCATGCCCTAGCATACGCAGCCCCTAGGGCCCAGTTGGGAAAGCCCCAGTCCCACCTCTGGCCACGTCGCTTTGGGCTACATGTGTCGCCTTCCTGAGCTTTAGCTCTCTTGAAGATGGGGGTCAGGCAGATCCACGTTACTGTGATATAATATCTGTAAAGCTTCTAGCCCAGGGCCTGGCACATAGTGCTTAGAGAATTTTCCTTCCTTCCTAATTTCCCTACTGAAGGAACAACTTTTTTAAAGTAACTCTTGAAAAGTTAGGGTCCCATTACATTCAGGATATCGTGTGTTTGGGCTGGTCTAGTCATCAGACCTGAGGAACACGAAGGCTATAGAGGGCAGAGCCCCAGGCTGCAGGTGCTGAGGAACTGCCGCTGCCTGGGCCACCACGCGCCCCAGGGAGGGGCCCACAAGTAGCAGCTCGCAGAGCCAACTGGCCAGGCAGACCCTGGCTGCTGACATGTGCTTCATTCTTCACTGGGGAGCTGGTGTGGGGTCCTGTTCTTCTGAGTAATGAGCAAGATTGGGGTGCAGGCCCAAGACTGCTGTGTATTGGTAAAGAGGGCAAACCCTGCCCTGTCCCCTCCTTGAGCAGAGCCTGGCAGGGTACGTGTGGGCATTGGCCTTGATTCACACGGGCATCCTGCAGCCCCAACAAGATGACACCCTTCTGTGTTCTTGGAGGTAGGTGCCCATTAGCTCAACTGCTGGCCTGCATTCCCAGGGCTTGCTTTTACTTGTCTGTGGTGATGTTGTGCCATGGCCTCTGTGTGTGTTCCTGCTTATTGGTGTTTTCTGCCAAGTAGTCAGGAACCTCCTTGGGCAAGAGCATGTGCATGTACGTGCTTGGGAACAGCTCAATCTTAGCTCCCGCAGGCCCCAGCCGCCTTAGCAGTTCTGCGTGTGTGAACTTTATGGAAGCAGAAAGGGCTGGTGACACTTGGGTTCTTGGGGTTTGTCAGGGGAGGGCACCAAATTGGTCTTGAGGAAGCAGTTAGGTGAGCCCCAGTGACAGTCTTAAGCACAGTGATTGGCAGATAGCAAGTGAAGGAGGGGCAAGGCTGCCACCACTTCTGGCTTCTGGTGAAATTTTACTGGACTGATTCCTAGGAAACTGCTGTTTGTCTTTGAGACCTTTCCACATCAGATGGCCCATGAAGCGTTCCACAGGGACCTTTGGTACAATCCATCTGTCCTACGTGGGCCATCAGAATCCCCTTCTGCACATGGGCTGGAAGAGGAGAGAAGCCCTCCAGCCTGGGGATGGGAGACCTAGGGGTCTCAGGTTCCTGAGAGGTCGAAAGGATTAACATAGTCCAGCTCTGTCTGAGCCTCAGAAAACCTGCCCTCCCTGTTAGAGGCCATGGGAAGAGTGTTCTTTTTAAGCATGAAGAACTGACTGTGGGCCAGGTGTAGTGGCTCACGCCTGTAATCCCAACACTTTGGGAGGCCGAGGTGGGCAGATCAGCTGGGGCCAGGAGTTCTAGACCAGCCTAACATGGCAAAACCACATCTCTCCTAAAAATACAAAAATTAGCCGGGTGTGGTGGCGTGCACCTGTGATCCCAGCTATTTGGGAGGCTGAGGCACAAGAATCACTTGAACCCAGGGGGCAGAGGCTGCAGTGAGCCAAGAGCACACCACTACACTCCAGTCTGGGCAATAGAGCAAGACTGTCTCAAAAAAAAAAAAAAAAAAAAAAAAAAAAAAAAGACTGTCATTAGCCAAGCATGGTGGCGTGTACCTGTAGTCCCAGCTACTTGGAAGGCTGAGGTGGGAGGATTGCTTGAGCCCAGGAGGTCAAGGCTGCAGGGAGCCAAGGCGACAGAGCGATGTCTTGTCTCAAAAACAAACAACTAGCTGTGTTGACTAGAGGCAGCTGTGAAACTGTCCTAAAAGGCTGGACTTCGAGAAGTTTCTTCCACAGATTGACCAGGTACTGTAGGTTTCAGTCACAACTGGGGTCCTGACACTGGCAAAGCCCCACCAGCTGCCCCACAAGTGGGGCCTGCCCTGAGGTCAGGGAGTTCTCTGCTGTACTGGTTCCTTTATGCACTAGGAAGGCAGACATGCCCTGAGGAGCCCTCAGAGTCCAACCCCAGCACCCCCACTAGGTCATTGCTGCCTTTAATCACATTCCAGATCCAGAGCCACACAGTGGCCCTGGCATTGGTCTCGGGTGTGTCCCATATCAGCAGCACATCTGCAGAGGGGCGTGAGTGCAGGCTCCCTGCTGAAAGCTCCCAGGGGTACCACGGAACAGCGGCTGTTGGTGGTGGACCCTGTGGAGGCTCCTGGCCTTCACTGTGTGTCCCTTGTCTTCCAGGTGAGACTGTGGAGATGAGAAGGTGGTGGACACTCGTGATGGAATGGAAATCGTCCTACCGTGCAGCCACACCCTGCCCTGCCCCGCCCCGCCCCGCCCGCGTGCCTGCCCATGCCAGCACTTCCTTAAGTTCTCACATCACACTCAAACCAGTGACACCACAGGAAAGAAAGACCCAAGACGTTGGAATGGCTGTTTCCATGGACACAATCTCCATAGTGACAATGTGGGGGGAGGGGGGAGGGGTGGGATGATGGGGAAAGGGTGGGGGGAATTAAAAGGGAGGGATAAATATATATATATAAATCTATTTTTAGTCTGGAAAGACTTTGTTTAAATGAAAGGTGCGCTATCCCTTTTGATTCTGTTTTAAAATTATCTCGTTAAAGATCTCCAAATTTGTTCCGATGACAAGTGAAATTTAAATGTGAGATTGAACTGAACAAACCCTCATCTCATGAAGGACGGGGTGTGTGTGTGGCGTTGATCTTTAGCCTGTCTCACACCAGTTCAGAAAACACTAGACCCAGGATTGAAAAAGCAAACCACAGCAGAACCATCCTTTTGTCATTAATTTGTCTCAAAGTGGGAAGGTTTTGGGGGAGGGGGAAATACAGGGATGGTCCATGTTTTCAAGAGTAGGGGAATGATGTTTAAACACAAAAATAAATTTTTTTTCATTTCCAGAAACACTATTTATTTATGGTTTTTTTTTTTTAATTTTTTCTTTTTGGGGGTGAAATTGGCAGATGCCTGAGGTCATAGCTGTGTCCTGGGTCACTGTGGCTGGTGAGGACCTCAAGGACCCCATCAAGTGTACACAGCAGCAGCAAAATCAAGGGATGACCCTCCTCTGGGGCCCCCTGTCCTCAGCACATTCCAGGCAGCTGTGCCCTGACCCACAGGGACCCGTGGGGATGGGAGGAGGTCCAGGCCTGTGTTGCCAGAGCTGGCAGTGTGAGCTGTAGGCAGGGACGGGGAGGGACTGTCGCTGTGATCAGAGTGGGTTAAGCTGACCAGGAACACCCATTTAACCCCTTTTTCTTTTTGCTTTCATTTTTATAAAGGAAAAGAGGACCTGTCAGATAGGCAGCCCCATGCTACGTGATTCTTTATGTTGTGTTGTTTTGTTTTGTAAATTGTATAATTTTTAAATATCTGAGTTTTAAAAAAAGAAAAAAGTACAAAAAAATCTTGTTATGGCCTTAAGAAGGGGTTAGTGCATCTTTCAGGGGTCACTCTGCCATGGGGATAAAATAGCTGTTTCACAAACAGTTTTATTTAAAAAAACAAAAAACAAAAAAAATCAAAAAATCAAAAAAATAATAAACTTCATTTTAACCTTGTTTCCTCTTCTGTTTACTTTAAAGTGAATGCGTCTCTTCCTTCTCCCATTCTAACCCCCAAAGGGTAGCTCTGGTTCTCCAGAGGAGGCCATGATCAGAACCTGTCTGTCCCATTCCTGGCCTCTCGATGGCCACGCAGCCGGGAAGCAAACAAAATATAGGGTTCTTCTGCCACTCCTCTGGGCAGGTGGAGTGTGGCCAGTGTATGGGGACAGTCAGATTTACTCAAGTTGATATGAAGACATATTTCCAATCAACATTAAGGGTTATAAAAAAATAATGGAATGTTAATGGACTTTTTTAGAGAATGGAAATACTGGAAGGAATATTGTGAAGCAGAAATAAGCAATTATAAATGAGTTCTGTGTTCATCAATTTGGGGCAGCAGAAATGGCAGATTAATTGTATTTTAATGGCTACATCAAGCAGTCCATTTCTCATTTCACTCCGCCAGGATGGAGGTGTGGGTGGGTGCGCCGTGCCGGCCGTAGGACCAAGCTTAGGCAACTGAACAGGACCTGCACAGAAATGATGGCTTTTTTGAGCTAGTTGTTGTCTCATTCTGGTCTTGACTTGGCATTAATACAGTTAAAATGAAATGGATAGACTTCAGGTGTCAAGGGCTAAACCACAAAACTTGAAAAATATGTATCTTGAGGAAAATATTTTCCTGACAGCAAATGTTTGTCATTTTGTCTTTTATTCTTTTGTCCCCTTTTGATTTGCCTGAGTGGAGCACTTGTGATTGTTCTAGGTCTTTCCTTAAATTGGCTTCAGTAATGACCTTCACTGGGGAGTGGCAGTGATACACGCATGCCTCCTGACTCCAGTTTCTGGCTTCTGCAGTTCTCCTCAACTGCTCAAGTGCCTTTTAGTTCCTTTAGTGTTTGTCTTAATTGATTTTTTTAAAGTAGTTTTATGTTCACAGAAGGATTAAGCTGACGGTACAGACAGTTCCCATATAACCCCTTCCCCCCGTATGCATACCTTTCCCTCTATCAACATCCCAACCAGAGTTGGCATACTGTTTTCACCCAAAGTCCATAGTTTATACTAGGGGCCACTCCCGGTGGTGTACATTTTATGGCCTTTGACAAATGTATAAAGACCTGGATCTGGCAGGGCGTGGTGGCTCTCGCCTATAATCCCAGCATTTTGGGAGGCTCAGGTGGGTGTATCGCTTGAGTTCGAGAACAGCCTGGGCAACATGGCGAAACCCCATCTCTACATAAAAATACAAAAATTAGCCAGGCATGATGGTGCATGCCTGTAGTCTCAGCTACTTGGGAGGCTGAGATGGGAGGATCACTTGAGCCCAGGAGGTCGAGGCTACAGTGAGTCGTGATCGCGCCACCACACTTCAGCCTGGGTGACAGCAAAATCCTGTCTCAAAAAGACGAGGACGCACCATGATCCAGAGTAGTTTCACTGCTCCAGGGATCCTCCGTGTCCCACTGTTCATTCCTCCTTAGCCCCAGTCCCTCACCGCTGAGCCTTTTACTGTCTGCAAAGTTTTGCCTTTTCCAAAGTATCATATAGTTGAGATTAGATAGTAGGTAGCCTTTTTTAGATTGGCTTCATTCACTTAGTAATGTGCATTTAAGGTTCACCCGTGTCTTTTCATGACTTGATAGCTTGTTTCTTTTTAGTGATAAATAATTCCATTGTCTGGCTGTACCACAGTTTATCCATTCAACTGCTGAAGAACATCTTGGTTGCTTTCAAGTTTTGACAATTACAAATGAAGCTGCTGTAAACATCCCTTTGCAGGTTTTTGTGTGGACATAAGGCCTCAACTCCTTTGGGTAAGTACAGGAAGCACGATTGGTGGATTGTATGGTAAGAGTATGTCTAGTTTTGTAAGAAATTGCCAAACTGTCTGGATCACCTGAGGTCAGGAGTTTGAGACCAGCCTGGCCAACATGGTGAAACCCTGTCTCTACTAAAAATACAAAAATCAGCCAGGCATGGTGGCTCACGCCTGCAGTCCCAGCTAAACGGGAGGCTGAGGTGGGAGGATTGCTTGAACGCAGGAGGCAAAGGTTCCAGTGAGCTGAGATCATCGTGCCACTGCACTCCTAGCCTGGGTGACAGAGTGAGTGAGACTCTGTCTCAAAAAAAAAAAAAAAAAAAAAACTGAGAAAAGGAAAAGAAATTGCCAAACTTTCTTCCAAAGTGTCTGTACCATTTTGTACTCCCACCAGCAATGAATGAGTTCCTGATGCTCCACATCCTTGCCAGCATTTGGTGTTGTCAGTGTTCTGGATTTAAGCCATTCTAATAGGTGTGTATATAGCCATTTATTTTTTTAATACTCATAAAGTTTTTAAATTGTGGTTAAAAAAATGTACCATCATAACAGTCACAGTACAGTTTAGTGGGAAATGTGTTCAGATTGTTGTGCAACCAATCTCCAGAATTTTTCATTTTATAAAACGGAAGCTTTACCCATTAAACTGCCCCCCTGCAGGCTGGCCCTGCCCCTGGAGCTTTCCATTTCTGTTTCTAGGGTACAAGCAGCCCTCGATACCCACAGGCTCCGCATCCACAAATTCAACCACACATCAAAGATAACTTGAGAAAGTATAACAACTAAAAATACAAATAAGAGCAGTACAGTATAGCAACTATTTATGTAGCATTTACACTGTATTAGGCATTACAAATAATCTAGAGATGATTTAAAGTATACAGGAGCATTTGCATAGGTATACTATGCCATTTTACATAAGGAACCTGAGCATCCTTGGGTTTTGGTATTTACCGGGGGTCCTGGCACCAATCCCCTCCAGGATACCCAGACACAACTATTCCACTGCCCATAACCCCGTCCCCTTGCAGCTGTGGAAACGCAGAGGTGCTGCTCTGAGGGCAGACAGACCCCACCACTCAGCACTCTTGAGTCGGACCCAGCAGAAACCCATCCCATGGGAGGAGCTGGGAATTGGAGGGTCTCTCCCAGTAGCATTGCTATGCCTGGCAGGGGGAAGGGCAAGAACAAGCAAAATGCTCCAACTTGACTACCCTTCCCAGTGCAGTCCCTCCCTGGCTCTGCACTAGCTGGCATTGCAGCATCCTAACTAGTTTCTAGAATTCTCACGATGTTTTGGTCTCCTATAGCTTTAACATTGAGCTCTCTAGGAGAACGAGAGCCCGCAGTTTCCTAGTCTACCACTTGCTGACATATTTTCACACCATCTCACTTGGCAACGTCCATAGGGCCTGCCAGGGCACAGTGCACTTTTTACCATGACACAGCAGTACCACTGTTCAGGGAAGGCAGGTTGGATCTGTTTCCTAAAAATAATAAATCCCAGAAACATCTATACTGACCATTAATAGAATGTAATGTCCAAACAGTATAGAATAGTAGCTCAGCATACACATTGGATGTGGACTCCTAACACCGCTGTGTGACTTGAACCTTGTTATGTGATCTCTGAGCCTCAGTCTCTGTGCCTTGGGGACCATAAAACCACCTCCTTAGGGGGCTGTGGGAGGATTAATGAGCTAGAGCACACAGTCTGACCAGCAGTTTCTGGCACATAAGTGCCCGATCAATGGAAGCCACAGGTGCACAATGATTGGAAAAGGCCACAGGCATTGTTATTAAATGTTTTCCTCATGCTGCCATATCTTGAATTACAGGCCTCTGGCTGGTAAGGAGGGCACTCGGGAGGACACTGCCCACATTGCAGGCATGCCTGTCCCTGCCCTTCACACCCCCATCATGATTCATGATGACTGCTTGGGGAGGGCCTGACACCTCAAAAGGCCAAGAGTGCATACAGGTAATGTATAAAGGGCCACCATGTAACAAGCACCCAGACCATCCTGCTGTCCCTGCACCTTGATTCTCTCACAGTCCCAAATAGAACAGTGCTGCCATGTAGGACAGGAACATTCATTCAGCTGAGGCCAGTTTGGGAGACCACAAGCCAGATCTGAGAAGTCCCCAGATAGGCATGGGTCTTGCTCTCTCTGTCAGTTGAGTAGCTTCAAAACTTCTGTTGGGCCAGGTGGCTCATGCCTCTATTTCCAACACTTTGGGAGGCCAAGGCAGGAGGATCACTTGAAGCCAGGAGTTCCAGACCAGCGTGGGCAACATAGTGAGGACCCATCTCAACAAAAAAATTAGCCGAGCGTAATGATGTGCACCTGTAGTTCCAGCTACTCGGGACGCTAAAATAGGATCTCTTGATTGAGCACAGGAGTTTGAGTGAGCTATGATCACAGCTCTGCACTCCAGCCTGGGCAACAGAGCAAGATCTTGTCTCTAAAAAATATATATATATTTTTAAATTTTAAATAAACTGTTCTCCCTGCCTTTTGTTCCCCAGATCCAGTCTTCATCCAGACCTGAAAAGACCCAGGCTCCAGCTGCTGGCCTCCTGCTGCCCCTCAGGCCACCTGCACAGGAAATTCCAGGGGTGGGTTGGTCCCACTGCCAGTGCCGTGGCCTACAGTGCTAGGCAGCCCCTCAGTCAGCTAGACAAAGTTCTCCATGAATCCTTCCCAGAAAGTCCTGTTCCAGCCTGGGACAACGTCCCCATGGACCCTCATGGCACTGCTGGCTTGTCATGTCAGCTATGTTACCTTCCTACTCCCCGTGGTCATCATTACGTTGGGGCATTGACTCACAGCCTTACCACCATGCTCCCAGTACACAGCCCAGCACCCAGTACAATCCATACCTCCAACTTGGGTGGAGCTCCCATGCCAGGCCACCTCTCGCCCACCACCCTAATCTGGGTAGGCAACTAGAGCGAGCAGGGGCAAGGACCTCTGCAGCAGCCCATACCCGCCCTGGCCTGACCCTGCACCCACTGGCAGCACAGTCAACACAGCAGGTTGGCTCACAGCAGAAGGCAAAGGCCATCATCAGCTCCCTTTATAAGGGAACGGTCATGCACTGGGTGTGCTGAGAGTGTCCTGCCTGGTCCTCTGTGCCTGGTGGGGTGGAGGTGCCAGGTGTGTCCAGAGGAGCCCAATGGGCAGTGAGGCAGCCATGGGGCTGGATGCACTGGTGCCCCTGGCAGTGACAGTGGCCATCTTCCTGCTCCTGGTGGACCTGATGCAGCAGCACCAACGCTGGACTGCACGCTACCCGCCAGGCCCCCTGCCACTGCCCGGGCTGGGCAACTTGCTGCATGTGGACTTCCAGAACATATACACCTTCAACCAGGTGAGGGAGGAGGTCCTGAGGATCCCCCACCACCAGCAAACATGGGTGGTGGGTGGAGCCACAGTCTGGACAAGAAGCCAGGCTGAGAAGGGGAAGCAGATTTGAGGGACTTCCTGGGGGAGGGCATTTATGCATGGCATGAAAGATGGGATTTTCCAAAGGCCAAGGAAGAGTAGGGCAAGGGCCTGGAGGTGGAGCTGGACTTGGCAGTGGGCGTGCAAGCCCATTGGGCAGCATATGTTAGGAGCACAAAGTCCCCTCTGCTGACACCAGAAGGAAAGGCCTTGGGAATGGAAGACGAGTCAGGGTCCTGTGTGCCGTTTAAATCAGGAAATCAGGCTGTGCGTGGTGGCTCACGCCTATAATCCCAGCACTTAAGGAAGCCAAGGTGGGCGGATCACCTGAGGTCAGGGGTTCCAGATGAGTCTGGCCAACATGGCAAAAACCGGTCTCTACTAAACATACAAAAAATGAGCTGGGCACAGTGGTGCACGCCTGCAATCCCAGCTACTTGGGAGGCTGAGGCAGGAGAATTGCTTGAACTTAGGAGGCAGAGGTTGTAGTGAGTGGAGATTGTGCCATTGCCTTGCAACCTCGGTGACACAGCCAGACAATGTCTAAATAAACGAATAAGAAATCAGGCCGGGCGCGGTGGCTCACGCCTGTAATCCCGGCCCTTTGGGAGGCTAAGGCGGGCGGATCATGAGGTTAGGAGATCGAGACCATCCTGGCTAACACAATGAAACCCGTCTCTACTAAAGATACAAACCAATTAGCCAGGCGAGGTGGTGGGCACCTGTAGTCCCAGCTACTTGGGAGGCTGAGGCAGGAGAATGGCATGAACCCATGAGGCAGAGCTTGAAGTGAGCTGAGAACACACCATTACACTCCAGTCTGGGCGACAGAGCGAGACTCTGTCTCAAAAAAAAAAAAAAAAAAAAAAAAAAAAAAAAATCAACGGCTGGGCGCGGTGGCTCACACCTGTAATCCCAGCATCTTGGGAGACCAAGGTGGGGGGATCACAAGGTCAGGAGTTCGAGACCAGCCTGGCCAACATGGTGAAACCCTGCCTCTACTAAAAATACAAAAATTAGCGGGGCACGGTGGTGGGCACCTGTAATCCCAGCTACATGGGAGGCTGAGGCAGGTGAATTGCTTGAACCCGGGAGGTGGAGGTTGCAGTGAGCCAAGATCGCGCCATTGCGCTCCAGCCTGGGTGACAGAGCCAGACATGGTCTAAATAAATGAGTAAGTTAGAAATCAAGGATGAAGGGATATAGTGGACCCGGTTCAAACCTTTTGCACTGTGGGTCCTCGGGCCTCACTGCTCACCGGCATGGACCATCATCTGGGAATGGGATGCTAACTGGGGCCTCTCGGCAATTTTGGTGACTCTTGCAAGGTCATACCTGGGTGACGCATCCAAACTGAGTTCCTCCATCACAGAAGGTGTGACCCCATCCCCGCCCCAGGATCGGGAGGCTGGGTCTCCTCCTTCCACCTGCTCACTCCTGGTAGCCCCGAGGGTCGTCTAAGGTTCAAATAGGACTAGGACCTGCAGTCTGGGGGGACCCTGGCCTGATGGAGGCCCTGACCCAACGGAGGCCCTGACCCTCCCTCTACAGCTGCGGCACCGCTTTGGGGACGTGTTCAGCCTGCAGCTGGCCTGGATGCCGGTGGTCGTGCTCAATGGGCTGGCGGCCGTGCGTGAGGCTCTGGTGACCTGCGGCGAGGACACCGCCGACCGCCCGCCTGCGCCCATCTACCAGGTCCTGGGCATCGGGCCGCGCTCCCAAGGCAAGCGGCGGTGGGGGACAGAGACTGCGTTTCCGTGGGTCCTGGGTGGGCGGTGACCGTAGCCCAAGCTGGGCTGAGAGGGCGCGGGGTTGTGGGCCAGTGAGTGGGTTGGGGACAGCGAGCCAGGAAACCACTTCCATTGGGGAGGTGCGAGTCTGTGGGCGGGAGGAAGAGGGGCTTGTGAGTGGGCGGGGCAACTGCCGAGACCCACCAGGAACCGGGTGGGCGGAGCTGGCGCCTTTCCCAGCTGGAAGCGGGTGTCTAGAAGCCGGGATGGACTCTGCTGTGGGCTCAGTATGGGCGGGGCGGGACGGGCGGGATCTTCCCTGAGTGGAAAGGCAGTCAGGGTCGGAAGAGCCAAGGTGGGGCCAAGACCCAAGCAAGGTGAGTGAGCAAAGAGCAGGCCCTGTGCCCAGCTGGACAGGGCCAGGGACTGCGGGAGACCAGGAAAAGCACAGGGTTGGAGTGGGCGGCGGAGGGCGGGGCCAAGGCCTCCATGACCACGCCCATGTGTCCGTCCCGCCCCCAGGGGTGTTTCTGGCACACTACGGACACGCGTGGCGCGAGCAGAGGCGCTTCTCCGTGTCCACCTTGCGCAACTTGGGCCTGGGCAAGAAGTCCCTGGAGCGGTGGGTGACCGAGGAGGCCGCCTGCCTCTGTGCCGCCTTCGCCGACCAAGCCAGTGGGTGATGGGCAGAGGGGCACAAAGCGGGAACTGGGAAGGTGGAGGACTGGGAAGGCGACCCCTGACCCGCATCTCCCGCCCCCAGGACGCCCCTTTCACCCCAACGGCCTCCTGAACAAAGCGGCGAGCAACGTGATCGCCTCCCTCACCTGCGGGTGCCGCTTCGAGTACGACGACCCTCGCTTCCTCAGGCTACTGGACCTAGCTCAGAAGGGATTGAAGGAGGAGCTGGGCTTTCTGTGAGAGATGTGGAGCGAGGGACCGCAGGGTCTCTGCAGGGCGAGCTCCTGAGAGGTGCCGGGACTGCAGCCGGACCTCCAAGGAGCAGGGTTTGCATAGAGTGGTTTGGGAAAGGACATTCCAGAAGAGCTCACTGCTAGAGGAAGGGCCTTGAGGAGGAGGAGACATCTCAGATACGGTCGTGGGAGAGGTGTGCCCGGGTCAGGGGGCACCAAGAAAGGCCAAGGACCCTGTGCCTCCTGTCCACATTGGAGATTTTGATTTTTAGGTTTCTCCTCTGGCAGCCCAGGGCAAGGAGAGAGGGTGGAGGCTGGCACTTGGGGAGGGACTTGGGGAGGTGAGTGGTGGGGACAGGTAGGCCCTGGGTCTTCCCTGGAGGCAGCTGGGGCCTGAGACTGGTCCAGGTGAACGCAGAGCACAGGAGGGATTGAGACCCCGTTCTGTGTCAGCTGTAGATGCTGAATGTTGTCCCCCTCCTCCTGCGCATCCCAGGGCTGGCTGGCAAGGTCCTACGCTCCCAAAAGGCTTTCCTGACCCAGCTGGATGAGCTGCTGACCGAGCACAGAATGATCTGGGACCCAGCCTAGCCACCCCGAGACCTGACTGAGGCCTTCCTGGCAGAGAAGGAGAAGGTGAGAGTGGCTGACACGGTAGGGACCAGGGGTGGTGGGTTGAGCGTCCGGGAGGAATGAGGCAGGCAAAAGGTGGGTCCATTGGATCACTTGGCAAGTGGCACCTGGGCTGACAGGTGCAGAATGTGGAGGTCATTTGGGGGCTTTCCCGTTCTGTCCCCTGAGTACCCTCTCAGCCCTGCTCAGGCCAAGGGGAACCCTGAGAGCAGCTTCAATGATGAGAACCTGCGCATGGTGGTGGCTGACCTGTTCTTTGCCGGGATGGTGACCACCTCGATCACGCTGGCCTGGGGCCTCCTGCTCATGATCCTACGCCCGGATGTGCAGCGTGAGCCCAGCTGGGGCCCAGTGCAGGGGGCAAGGGAGGAAGGGTACAGGTGGGGGCCCCTGAGCTTAGCTGGGACACCCGGGACTCCAAGCACAGGCTTGGCCAGGTTCCTGTAAGCCTAACCTCCTCCAACACAGGAGGCAGGAGAGTGTCAGGGCTGGTCCCCTGGGTGCTGACCCATTGTGGGGACGCGTGTCTGTCCAGGCCGTGTCCAACAGATCGACAACGTGATAGGGCAGGTGTGGTGACCAGAGATGGGTGACCAGGCTCGCATGCCCTGCACCACTGCCGTGATTCACGAGGTGCAGCGCTTTGGGGACATCGTCCCCCTGGGTGTGACCCATATGACATCCCGTGACATCGAAGTACAGGGCTTCCGCATCCCTAAGGTAGGCCTGGCACCCTCCTCACCCCAGCTCAGCACCAGCCCCTGGTGATAGCCCCAGCATGGCCACTGCCAGGTGGGCCCAGTCTAGGAACCCTGGCCACCCAGTCCTCAATGCCACCACATCGACTGTCCCAGCCTGGGTGTGGGGTGCAGAGTATAGGCAGGGCTGGCCTGTCCATCCAGAGCCCCAGTCTAGTGGGGAAGGCAGACCAGGACCTGCCAGAATGTTGGAGGACCCCAATACCTGTAGGGAGAGGGGGTAGCGTGGGCGCTCCCAGGAGGTGTGACTGCGCCCTGCCATGGGGTCGGAGAGGGTGCTCTGGAGCTTCTCGGGCACAGGACTAGTTGACAGAGTCCAGCTGTGTGCCAGGCAGTGTGTGTCCCCTGTGTGCTTGGGGGTCCCAGCATCCTAGAGTCCAGTCCCCACTCTCACCCTGCATCTCCTGCCCAGGGGATGATGCTCTTCACCAACCTGTCATCGGTGCTGAAGGATGAGGCCGTCTGGGAGAAGCCCTTCCGCTTCCACCCCGAACACTTCCTGGATGCCCAGGGCCACTTTGTGAAGCTGGAGGCCTTCCTGCCTTTCTCAGCAGGTGCCTGTGGGGAGCCCGGCTCCCTGTCCCCTTCCGTGGAGTCTTGCAGGGGTATCACCCGGGAGCCAGGCTCACTGACGCCCCTCCCCTCCCCACAGGCCGCCGTGCATGCCTCGGGGAGCCCCTGGCCCGCATAGAGCTCTTCCTCTTCTTCACCTCCCTGCTGCAGCACTTCAGCTTCTCGGTGCCCACCGGACAGCCCCGGCCCAGCCACTCTCGTGTCGTCGGCTTTCTGGTGACGCCATCCCCCTATGAGCTTTGTGCTGTGCCCCGCTAGAGTTGCTCCTCAGCTGGGACCCTGTTGTACAATAAATTAGTCTAGTGGCTCCCACTTGGTTTCTGTATCCAGTCTGGGCCCCTGCCAAGGTCCTGGTTGTGTTGGGTCGTCAGTCACCTGCCTGATGTCAGTGCTCACCCCTCACCCCTCACCCCTCACCTCATTCATTCATTTTTTTTTTTTTTTTTTTGAGATGGAGCCTACTCTGTCACCCAGGCTGGAGTGCAGTGGTGCAATCTCAGCTCACTGCAACCTCCGCCTCCAGAGTTCAAGCGATTCTCGTGCCTCAGCTTCCTGAGTAGCTGGGATTACAGGCACCGGGTACCACCCCCGGCTCATTTTTGTCTTTTTAGTAGTGATGGGTTTCGCCATGTTGGCCAGTCTGGTTTCAAACTCCTGACTTCACGTGACCACCAGCCTCAGCCTCCCAAAGTGCTGGGATTACAGGCGTGAGCCACCGAGACCAGCCTCACCTCATTCACTCTTACCTGGACGCCTGACTTTACTTGAGATACAGGCATAGTGATTCTCAGCAGGAAACAGCCTGCCCCCACGTCACGCCCAGAGACCCATCACTGGCTGCCTGGCTTGGTGACAAAGTCCATGCGTAAGTCTTGGCTGGGGTGGATATGAATAGGCATATGCCAAGAATCAACCCATTCCCTGGCTAGGGTGGGAGACTGTGTTGTGCTCCCCCAGACCACCCTCAGGTTCAGTGATTTCTAGAAGGTCTCACAGCCCTAGAAAAGCTGTTATTCTCCCTGTTAACAGTTTATTACAGAGAAGGGTACAGATTAAAGTCAGCAAAGATGAAAGGCACAGGGACCAGAGTCCAGAATGACCAGGCCAAGGCTGCAGCTCTCTTTTCTGGTGGACTCCTACAGGCAGTGCTTAATTCTCCCCCAACAGTAAGTGAGGCAGCAGAGAGCCCTGCCAGCCACGGAAGCTCACCTGGGCCTTGGTGTCCATGGTTTTTGTTGGGAGTTGGTCATCCTAGGCTTGAGCCCCCGCAGCATGGCTGACCTCAGTTACTCAGTCTCCAGCCCCTCCTGAAGTCAGATGGATACAGGCCTGACGGCCCCACCCTCGATCACATTGTTGGCATAAACTGTGTTGTACGGTCCAAGGCCCTAGCTATGTACAAAGACACTATTTCAGGCAGGACATTCCAAGGCCTTAGCAGATATCTCCCAGCCTCCTGTCAAGAGTCAGTTTGGACTCTTGGTCCAGTGGCTTGCATTGTGCAAGGAATGACTTCCCCACTTTTTACTACACAGGCCACCCCTCTTGGCTCTAACAGCAAAATGATATTAGTTTGAGCATCTGTGTGTGTGTGTGTGTGTGTGTGTGTGTGTGTGTTTTCTTGAGACAGGGTCTTGCTCTGTCACCGAGGCTGGAGTGCAGTGATGCCATCAGGGCTCACTGCAGCCTTGACTTCCTGGGTTCAAGCAATCCTCCCATCTCAGCCTCCCTAGTAGCTGGGACTGCAGGCACATGCCACCATGCTTTGCTAATTTTTGTATTTTTTGTAGAGACGGAGTTTCACCATGTTGGCCAGGCTGCTTTCGAACTCCCTATCTCAGGTCATCTGACTGCCTCAGCCCCCCAGAGTGCTGGGATTACAGGTGTAAGCTACTGTGCCCAGCCAAATTTCCTTCCTAATTTCTTCATTGAACCACTGGCCATTCCGGACCATATTGTTTAATTTTCACGTGTATGTATAGTTTCCAGAATTCCTCTTGTTGTTGATTTCCACTTTTATTCTGTTGTGGTCAGAGAAGATGCTTGATATTATTTTAACATTTGTAATGTTTTAAGACTTGCTTTGTGACCTAACATATGGTGTATCCTTGAGAATGATCCATGTGCTGAGGAGAAGAATGTGTATTCTGCAGACTTTAGACGAAGTGTTCTGTAAGTATCTAGTAGGTCCATTTCTTTTGTAGTGCAGATTAAGTCTAATGTTTTCTTATTGGGTTTCCATCTGGGACACCCGTCCAATGCTGAATGTGGGGTGTTGACGTCTTTAGCTGTTATTGCGTTAACGTCTCTCTTGGGCTCCAATAACATTTGCTTTACGTGCTCCAGTGTTGTGTGCATATGTATTTACAATTGTTATATTCTGTTGCTGGATGACCTTCTTTGTCTCCTCTTACAGTTTTTTTGGTTGTTGTTGTTTGTTTGTTTTGTTTTGGAGACGGAGTCTCGCTCTGTCACCCAGGCTGGAGTGCAGTGGCGCGATCTTGGCTCACTGCAAGCTTCGCCTCCCAGGTTGACGCCATTCTCCTGCCTCAGCCTCCTGAGTAGCTGGGACTACAGGCGCCCGCCACCACGCCTGGCTAATTTTTTGTATTTTTAGTAGAGACGGGGTTTCACCATGTTAGCCAGGATAGTCTCAATCTCCTGACCTCGTGATCCGCCCGTCTTGGCCTCCCAAAGTGCTGGGATTACAGGCGTGAGCCACCACACCCGGCCTCCTCTTACAGTTTTTGTTTTAAAATCTGTTCTGTCTAAGTATTGCTACTCCTGCTCTTTTTTGTTTTCCATTGGCATGGAGTATCTTTTTCCATCCCTTTATTTTCAGTCCATGTGTATCTTTACAGGTGAAGTGTGTTTCTTCTAGACAAAAGAGCATTGAGCTTTGCTTTTTCATCCATTCAGCCACTCTGTGTCTTTGTATTGGAGAGTTTAGTCCATTTACATTCAATGTTATTATTGCTAAGCAGGGACTTACTCCTGCTATTTTGTTATTTCTTTTCTCACTGTTTTGTGGTCTTCTCTTTTTTTTTTTTTTTTTTTTTTTTTTCCTTGTCTTCCTTTTAATGAAGGTGATTTTCTCTGGTGGTATGATTTAATTTCTTGCTTTTTTGTGTGTGTGTATCCATTGTGTGTTTTTTCTTCTTTTCTTTTTGAGACACAGTCTCACTTATTGTGTGCTTTTTGATTTGAGGTTGCCGTGAGGCTTGCAAATATTATCTTATAACTCATTATTTTAAACGGATGACAACACTGATTGTGTAAACAAACATAAAGCAAAAGGAAGACTAATAAAAACTCTACACTTTAAGTTCATCTTAGTGCTTTTTAACTTTTTGTTGTTTCTCTTTTTTTGTTTTTGAGATAAAGTCTTGCTCTGTTGCCCAGGCTAGAGTGCAGTGGCACGATCTCAGCTCACTGTAACCTCCACTTCCCAGGTTCAACCGATTCTCCTGCCTCAGCCTCCTGGGTAGCAGGCGCCCACCACCATGCCCAGCTAAATTTTTTGTATTTTTAGTAGAGATGGGGTTTCACCATGTTGGCCAGGCTTGTCTCGAACTCCTGCCCTCAGGTGATCCACCCACCTCAGCCTTACAAAGTGCTGGGATTACCTGCGTGAGCCACCGGGTCCGGCCTCTTTATGTCTTACTGTACTGTCTGTCTTGAAAAGTACTTATTATTTTTGATTGGTTCATCATTTAGTCTAATTAAAATAAGAGTAGTTTACACACCACAATTACAGTATTATAATACTCTGTTTTTCTGTGTGCTTACTATTACCAGTGAGTTTTGTACCTTTAGATGATTTCTTCTTGCTCATTAATATCCTTTTTTTTTTCAGATTGAAAAACTCCCTTTAGCATTTCTTGTGGGATATAGGTCTGGTGTTGATGAAATCTCGCAGCTTTTGTTTGTCTGGGAAGGTCTTTATTTCTCCTTCCTGTTGGAAGGATATTTTTGCCAGATACGTTATTCTAGGCTAAAAGTTTTTTTTCCTTCAGCACTTTAAATATGTCATGCCACTCCCCCCTGGCCTGTAAGGTTTCCACTGGAAAGGTGGCTGCCCCATGTCATGTATTGGAGCTCTACTGCATGTTATTTGTTTCTTTTCTCTTGCTGCTTTTAGGATCCTTTCTTTATCCTTGACCTTTCGGAGTTTAATTATCAGATGCCTTGAGGTCGTCTTCTTTGGGTTAAATCTGCTTGGTGTTCTATAAACTTCTTGTACAAAAAATCAGCCAGGCATGGTGGTGGGCACCTGTAATCCCAGCTACTTGGGAGGCTGAGGCAGGAGAATCGCTTGAACCCTGGAGGTGGAGGTTGCAGTGAGCCGAGATCGCATCATTGCACTCCCACCTGGGCGACAGAGCAAAACTCCGTCTCAAAAAAAAAATTATTTGGGCTCGGTGGTGCCTGTAGTCCCAGCTACTTGGGAGGCAGGAGGTCCACTTGATGTTGAGATTGCAGTGAGCCATGATCCTGCCACTGCACTCCGGCCCGGGCAACAGAGTGAGACCCTGTCTAAAGAAAAAATAAAAATAAAAAAGCAACATATCCTAAATAAAGGATCCTCCATAATGTTTCCACCAGATTTCTAATCAGAAACATGGAGGCCAGGAAGCAGTGGAGAATGACGACCCTCAGGCAGCCCTGGAGGATGCTGTCACAGGCTGGGGCAAGGGCCTTCAGGCTACCAACTGGGAGCTCTGGGAACAGCCCTGTTGCAAACAGGAAGTCATGGCCCGGCCAGAGCCCAGAATGTGGGCTGAGCTGGGATCCATGTGACAGCTTTGAGGCTCACCGGGAGCAGCCTCTGGACAGGAGAGGTCCCATCCAGGAAACCTCGGGCATGGCTGGGAAGTGGGGTACTTGGTGCCGGGTCTGTATGTGTGTGTGACTGGTGTGTGTGAGAGAGAATGTGTGCCCTGAGTGTCAGTGTGAGTCTGTGTATGTGTGAATATTGTCTTTGTGTGGGTGATTTTCTGCATGTGTAATCGTGTCCCTGCAAGTGTGAACAAGTGGACAAGTGTCTGGGAGTGGACAAGAGATCTGTGCACCATCAGGTGTGTGCATAGCGTCTGTGCATGTCAAGAGTGCAAGGTGAAGTGAAGGGACCAGGCCCATGATGCCACTCATCATCAGGAGCTCTAAGGCCCCAGGTAAGTGCCAGTGACAGATAAGGGTGCTGAAGGTCACTCTGGAGTGGGCAGGTGGGGGTAGGGAAAGGGCAAGGTCATGTTCTGGAGGAGGGGTTGTGACTACATTAGGGTGTATGAGCCTAGCTGGGAGGTGGATGGCCGGGTCCACTGAGACCCTGGTTATCCCAGAAGCCTGTGTGGGCTTGGGGAGCTTGGAGTGGGGAGAGGGGGTGACTTCTCCGACCAGGCCTTTCTACCACCCTACCCTGGGTAAGGGCCTGGAGCAGGAAGCAGCGGCAAGGACCTCTGGAGCAGCCCATACCTGCCCTGGCCTGACTCTGCCACTGGCAGCACAGTCAACACAGCAGGTTCACTCACAGCAGAGGGCGAAGGCCATCATCAGCTCCCTTTATAAGGGAAGGGTCACGCGCTCGGTGTGCCGAGAGTGTCCTGCCTGGTCCTCTGTGCCTGGTGGGGTGGGGGTGCCAGGTGTGTCCAGAGGAGCCCAGTTGGTAGTGAGGCAGCCATGGGGCTAGAAGCACTGGTGCCCCTGGCCATGATAGTGGCCATCTTCCTGCTCCTGGTGGACCTGATGCACCGGCACCAACGCTGGGCTGCACGCTACCCGCCAGGTCCCCTGCCACTGCCCGGGCTGGGCAACCTTGCTGCATGTGGACTTCCAGAACACACCATACTGCTTCGACCAGGTGAGGGAGGAGGTCCTGGAGGGCGGCAGAGGTCCTGAGGATGCCCCACCACCAGCAAACATGGGTGGTGGGTTAAACCACAGGCTGGATCAGAAGCCAGGCTGAGAAGGGGAAGCAGGTTTGGGGGACGTCCTGGGGAAGGACATTTATACATGGCATGAAGGACTGGATTTTCCAAAGGCCAAGGAAGAGTAGGGCAAGGGCCTGGAGGTGGAGCTGGACTTGGCAGTGGGCATGCAAGCCCATTGGGCAACATATGTTATGGAGTACAAAGTCCCTTCTGCTGACACCAGAAGGAAAGGCCTTGGGAATGGAAGATGAGTTAGTCCTGAGTGCCGTTTAAATCACGAAATCGAGGATGAAGGGGGTGCAGTGACCCGGTTCAAACCTTTTGCACTGTGGGTCCTCGGGCCTCACTGCTCACCGGCATGGACCATCATCTGGGAATGGGATGCTAACTGGGGCCTCTCGGCAATTTTGGTGACTCTTGCAAGGTCATACCTGGGTGACGCATCCAAACTGAGTTCCTCCATCACAGAAGGTGTGACCCCCACCCCCGCCCCAGGATCAGGAGGCTGGGTCTCCTCCTTCCACCTGCTCACTCCTGGTAGCCCCGGGGGTCGTCCAAGGTTCAAATAGGACTAGGACCTGTAGTCTGGGGTGATCCTGGCTTGACAAGAGGCCCTGACCCTCCCTCTGCAGTTGCGGCGCCGCTTCGGGGACGTGTTCAGCCTGCAGCTGGCCTGGACGCCGGTGGTCGTGCTCAATGGGCTGGCGGCCGTGCGCGAGGCGATGGTGACCCGCGGCGAGGACACGGCCGACCGCCCGCCTGCGCCCATCTACCAGGTCCTGGGCTTCGGGCCGCGTTCCCAAGGCAAGCGGCGGTGGGGGACAGAGACCGCGTTTCCGTGGGCCCCGGGTGGACAGTGACCGTAGCCCAAGCAGCGCCGACAGGGCGTGGGGTCCTGGACGTGAAACAGAGATAAAGGCCAGCGAGTGGGCTGAGGACAGTGGGCCAGGAAACCACCTGCACGGGGGAGGTGCGAGTCTGTGGGCTGGGAGGGGGCGGGGCTACTGCCCAGACCCGCCAGAAGCCCGGTGGGCGAGGCTGATGCGTCGAAGTGGCGGTGGCGGGGACCGCGCCTATGCTGCGGGCTCAGTGTGGGCGGGACGGGCGGGATCTTCCTTGAGTGGAAAGGTGGTCAGGGTGGGCAGAGACGAGGTGGGGCCAAACCCCGCCCCAGGCAGGGGAGCAATGTGGGTGAGCAAAGAGTGGGCCCTGTGCCCAGCTGGACCGGGCTAGGGACTGCGGGAGACCTTGTGGAGCGCCAGGGTTGGAGTGGGTGGCGGAGGGTGGGGCCAAGGCCTTCATGGCAACGCCCACGTGCCCGTCCCGCCCCCAGGGGTGATCCTGTCGCGCTATGGGCCCGCGTGGCGCGAGCAGAGGCGCTTCTCCGTGTCCACCTTGCGCAACTTGGGCCTGGGCAAGAAGTCGCTGGAGCAGTGGGTGACCGAGGAGGCCGCCTGCCTTTGTGCCGCCTTCGCCGACCAAGCCGGTGGGTGATGGGCAGAAGGGCACAAAGCGGGAACTGGGAAGGCGGGGGACGGAGAAGGCAACCCCTTACCCGCATCTCCCACCCCCAGGACGCCCCTTTCGCCCCAACGGCCTCTTGGACAAAGCCGTGAGCAACGTGATCGCCTCCCTCACCTGCGGGCGCCGCTTCGAGTACGACGACCCTCGCTTCCTCAGGCTGCTGGACCTAGCTCAGGAGGGACTGAAGGAGGAGTCGGGCTTCCTGCGCGAGGTGCGGAGCGAGAGACCGAGGAGTCTCTGCAGGGCGAGCTCCTGAGAGGTGCCGGGGCTGGACTGGGGCCTCCGAAGGGCAGGATTTGCATAGATGGGTTTGGGAAAGGACATTCCAGGAGACCCCACTGTAAGAAGGGCCTGGAGGAGGAGGGGACATCTCAGACATGGTCGTGGGAGAGGTGTGCCCGGGTCAGGGGGCACCAGGAGAGGCCAAGGACTCTGTACCCCCGTCCACGTTGGAGATTTCGATTTTAGGTTTCTCCTCTGGGCAAGGAGAGAGAGGGTGGAGGCTGGCACTTGGGGAGGGACTTGGTGAGGTCAGTGGTAAGGACAGGCAGGCCCTGGGTCTTCCTGGAGATGGCTGGGGCCTGAGACTGGTCCAGGTGAACGCAGAGCACAGGAGGGATTGAGACCCCGTTCTGTCTGGTGTAGGTGCTGAATGCTGTCCCCGTCCTCCCGCACATCCCAGCGCTGGCTGGCAAGGTCCTACGCTTCCAAAAGGCTTTCCTGACCCAGCTGGATGAGCTGCTAACTGAGCACAGGATGACCTGGGACCCAGCCCAGCCACCCCGAGACCTGACTGAGGCCTTCCTGGCAAAGAAGGAGAAGGTGAGAGTGGCTGCCACGGTGGGGGGCAAGGGTGGTGGGTTGAACGTCCCAGGAGGAATGAGGGGAGGCTGGGCAAAAGGTTGGACCAGTGCATCACCCGGCGAGCCGCATCTGGGCTGACAGGTGCAGAATTGGAGGTCATTTGGGGGCTACCCCGTTCTATCCCCTGAGTATCCTCTCGGCCCTGCTCAGGCCAAGGGGAGCCCTGAGAGCAGCTTCAATGATGAGAACCTGCGCATAGTGGTGGGTAACCTGTTCCTTGCCGGGATGGTGACCACCTCGACCACGCTGGCCTGGGGCCTCCTGCTCATGATCCTACACCTGGATGTGCAGCGTGAGCCCAGCTGGGGCCCAAGGCAGGGACTGAGGGAGGAAGGGTACAGCTGGGGGCCCCTGGGCTTAGCTGGGACACCCGGGGCTTCCAGCACAGGCGTGGCCAGGCTCCTGTAAGCCTAACTTCCTCCAACACAGGAGGAAGGAGAGTGTCCCCTGGGTGCTGACCCATTGTGGGGACGCATGTCTGTCCAGTCCGTGTCCAACAGGAGATCGACGACGTGATAGGGCAGGTGCGGCGACCAGAGATGGGTGACCAGGCTCACATGCCCTGCACCACTGCCGTGATTCACGAGGTGCAGCGCTTTGGGGACATCATCCCCCTGAGTGTGACCCATATGACATCCCGTGACATCGAAGTACAGGGCTTCCGCATCCCTAAGGTAGGCCTGGCGCCCTCCTCACCCCAGCTCAGCACCAGCCCCTGGTGATAGCCCCAGCATGGCTACTGCCAGGTGGGCCCACTCTAGGAACCCTGGCCACCTAGTCCTCAATGCCACCACACTGACTGTCCCCGCTTGGATGGGGGGTCCAGAGTATAGGCAGGGCTGGCCTGTCCATCCAGAGCCCCAGTCTAGTGGGGAAGACAAATCAGGACCTGCCAGAATGTTGGAGGACCCAGCGCCTGCAGGGAGAGGGGGCAGTGTGGGTGCCTCTGAGAGGTGTGACTGCGCCCTGCTGTGGGGTCGGAGAGGGTACTGTGGAGCTTCTCGGGCGCAGGACTAGTTGACAGAGTCCAGCTGTGTGCCAGGCAGTGTGTGTCCCCCGTGTGTTTGGTGGCAGGGGTCCCAGCATCCTAGAGTCCAGTCCCCACTCTCACCCTGCATCTCCTGCCCAGGGAACGACACTCATCACCAACCTGTCATCGGTGCTGAAGGATGAGGCCGTCTGGAAGAAGCCCTTCCGCTTCCACCCCGAACACTTCCTGGATGCCCAGGGCCACTTTGTGAAGCCGGAGGCCTTCCTGCCTTTCTCAGCAGGTGCCTGTGGGGAGCCCGGCTCCCTGTCCCCTTCCGTGGAGTCTTGCAGGGGTATCACCCAGGAGCCAGGCTCACTGACGCCCCTCCCCTCCCCACAGGCCGCCGTGCATGCCTCGGGGAGCCCCTGGCCCGCATGGAGCTCTTCCTCTTCTTCACCTCCCTGCTGCAGCACTTCAGCTTCTCCGTGGCCGCCGGACAGCCCCGGCCCAGCCACTCTCGTGTCGTCAGCTTTCTGGTGACCCCATCCCCCTACGAGCTTTGTGCTGTGCCCCGCTAGAATGGGGTACCTAGTCCCCAGCCTGCTCCCTAGCCAGAGGCTCTAATGTACAATAAAGCAATGTGGTAGTTCCAACTTGGGTCCCCTGCTCACGCCCTCGTTGGGATCATCCTCCTCAGGGCAACCCCACCCCTGCCTCATTCCTGCTTACCCCACCGCCTGGCCGCATTTGAGACGGGTACGTTGAGGCTGAGCAGATGTCAGTTACCCTTGCCCATAATCCCATGTCCCCCACTGACCCAACTCTGACTGCCCAGATTGGTGACAAGGACTACATTGTCCTGGCATGTGGGGAAGGGGCCAGAATGGGCTGACTAGAGGTGTCAGTCAGCCCTGGATGTGGTGGAGAGGGCAGGACTCAGCCTGGAGGCCCATATTTCAGGCCTAACTCAGCCCACCCCACATCAGGGACAGCAGTCCTGCCAGCACCATCACAACAGTCACCTCCCTTCATATATGACACCCCAAAATGGAAGACAAATCATGTCAGGGAGCTATATGCCAGGGCTACCTCCCAGGGCTCAGTCGGCAGGTGCCAGAACATTCCCTGGGAAGGCCCCAGGAAAACCCAGGACCGAGCCACCGCCCTCAGCCTGTCACCTTGTGTCCAAAATTGGTGGGTTCTTGGTCTCACTGACTTCAAGAATGAAGCCGTGGACCCTCACGGTGAGTGTTACAGTTCTTAAAGATGGTGTGTTCAGAGTTTGTTCCTTCTGATGTTAAGACGTGTTCAGAGTTTCTTCCTTCTGGTGGGTGCGTGGTCTTGCTGGCTTCAGGAGTGAAGCTGCAGACCTTCACAGTGAGTGTTACGGCTCTTAAGGCTGCACGTACGGAGTTGTTCATTCTTCCTGGTGGGTTTGTGGTCTCACTGGCCTCAGGAGTGAAACTGCAGTCCTTCCAGTGTTACAACTCATAAAGGCAGTGTGGACCCAATGAGGGAGCAGCAGCAGCAAGACTTACTGCAAACAGCAAAAGAATGATGGCAACCAGGTTGCCGCTGCTACTTCAGGCAGCCTGCTTTTATTCCCTTATCTGACCCCCACCCACATCCTGCTGATTGGCCCATTTTACAGACAGTGGATTGGTCCACTTACAGAGAGCTGATTGGTGCATTTACAATCCCTGAGCTAGACACAGAGTACTGATTGGTATATTTACAAACCTTGAGCTAGACACAGAGTGCTGAATGGTGTATTTACAATCCCTTAGCTAGACATAAAGGTTGTCCCAGTCCCCACTAGATTAGCTAGATAGAGTAGACAGAGAGCACTGATTGGTGCGTTTACAAACCTTGAGTTAGACACAGGGTGCTGACTGGTGTGTTTACAAACCTTGAGCTAGACACAGAGTGCTGATTGGTGTATTTACAATCTTTTAGCTAGAAATAAAGGTTCCCCAAGTCCCCACCAGATTAGCTAGATAGAGTGCTAATTGGTGCATGCACGAACCCGGAGCTAGACACAGAGTGCTGATTGGTGCATATACAATCCTCTGGCTAGACATAAAAGTTCTCCAAGTCCCCACCTGACTCAGGAGCCCAGCCAGCTTCGCCTAGTGGATCCTATGCCAGGGCCACAGGCAGAGCTGCCTGCTAGTCCCACACCGGGCACCTGTACTCCTCAGCCCTTGGGCAGTGGACGGGACCAGGTGCCGTGGAGCAGTGGGAGGCACCCATCCGGGAGGCTCGGGCCTCGCAGGGAGCCCACCGTAGGGAGGCTTGGGCATGGCAGGCTGCAAGTCCTGAGCCCTGCCCCGCGGGGAGGTGACTGAGGCCTGGCGACAATTCAAGTGTGGTGAGCGCCGGCAGGCCAGCAGTACTGGGGGACCCGGTGCCCCCTCTGCAGCTGCTGGCCCAGGTGCTAAGCCCCTCACTGCCTGGGGCCAGAGGCACCAGCCGGCCGCTCCGAGTGCAGGGCCCGCTGAGCCCCTGCCCACCCAGAACTGGTGCTGGCCCGCGAGCAACCCAGGTTCCCGCACACGCCTCTCCCTCCATACCTCCCCGCAAGCAGACGGAGCCGGCTCCAGCCTCCACCAGTCCAGAGAGGGGCTCCCACAGTGCAGCGCTGGGCTGAAGGGCTCCTCAAGTGTGGTCAGAGCAGAAGCTGAGGCCGAGGAGGCGCTGAGAGCGAGCGAGGACCACCAGCACGTTGACACCTCTCAACCTCACCACAGGACTGGCCACCTCTCTGGGCCCTCAGGGATGCTGCTGTCTGGACCCCTGACCAGTGACGAGTTCGCACTCAGGGCCAGGCTGGCGCTGGAGGAGGACACTTGTTTGGCTCCAACCCTAGGTACCATCCTCCCAGTAGGGATCAGGCAGGGCCCACAGGCCTGCCCTAGGGACAGGAGTCAACCTTGGACCCATAAGGCACTGGGGCGGGCAGAGAAGGAGGAGGTGGCATGGGCAGCTGAGAGCCAGAGACCCTGACCCTAGTCCTTGCTCTGCCATTACCCCGTGTGACCCCGGGCCCACCCTTCCCCACCCTTCCCCACCCTTCCCCACCCCGGGCTTCTGTTTCCCTTCTGCCAACGAGAAGGCTGCTTCACCTGCCCCGAGTCCTGTCTTCCTGCTCTGCCTTCTGGGGCTGTGGCCCTTGCTGGCCTGGAGCCCCAACCAAGGGCAGGGACTGCTGTCCTCCACGTCTGTCCTCACCGACATAATGGGCTGGGCTGGGCACACAGGCAGTGCCCAAGAGTTTCTAATGAGCATATGATTACCTGAGTCCTGGGCAGACCTTCTTAGGGAACAGCCTGGGACAGAGAACCACAGACACTCTGAGGAGCCACCTGAGGCCTCTTTTGCCAGAGGACCCTACAGCCTCCCTGGCAGCAGTTCCGCCAGCATTTCTGTAAATGCCCTCATGCCAGGGTGCGGCCCGGCTGTCAGCACGAGAGGGACGTTGGTCTGTCCCCTGGCACCGAGTCAGTCAGAAGGGTGGCCAGGGCCCCCTTGGGCCCCTCCAGAGACAATCCACTGTGGTCACACGGCTCGGTGGCAGGAAGTGCTGTTCCTGCAGCTGTGGGGACAGGGAGTGTGGATGAAGCCAGGCTGGGTTTGTCTGAAGACGGAGGCCCCGAAAGGTGGCAGCCTGGCCTATAGCAGCAGCAACTCTTGGATTTATTGGAAAGATTTTCTTCACGGTTCTGAGTCTTGGGGGTGTTAGAGGCTCAGAACCAGTCCAGCCAGAGCTCTGTCATGGGCACGTAGACCCGGTCCCAGGGCCTTTGCTCTTTGCTGTCCTCAGAGGCCTCTGCAAAGTAGAAACAGGCAGCCTTGTGAGTCCCCTCCTGGGAGCAACCAACCCTCCCTCTGAGATGCCCCGGGGCCAGGTCAGCTGTGGTGAAAGGTAGGGATGCAGCCAGCTCAGGGGAGTGGCCCAGAGTTCCTGCCCACCCAAGGAGGCTCCCAGGAAGGTCAAGGCACCTGACTCCTGGGCTGCTTCCCTCCCCTCCCCTCCCCAGGTCAGGAAGGTGGGAAAGGGCTGGGGTGTCTGTGACCCTGGCAGTCACTGAGAAGCAGGGTGGAAGCAGCCCCCTGCAGCACGCTGGGTCAGTGGTCTTACCAGATGGATACGCAGCAACTTCCTTTTGAACCTTTTTATTTTCCTGGCAGGAAGAAGAGGGATCCAGCAGTGAGATCAGGCAGGTTCTGTGTTGCACAGACAGGGAAACAGGCTCTGTCCACACAAAGTCGGTGGGGCCAGGATGAGGCCCAGTCTGTTCACACATGGCTGCTGCCTCTCAGCTCTGCACAGACGTCCTCGCTCCCCTGGGATGGCAGCTTGGCCTGCTGGTCTTGGGGTTGAGCCAGCCTCCAGCACTGCCTCCCTGCCCTGCTGCCTCCCACTCTGCAGTGCTCCATGGCTGCTCAGTTGGACCCACGCTGGAGACGTTCAGTCGAAGCCCCGGGCTGTCCTTACCTCCCAGTCTGGGGTACCTGCCACCTCCTGCTCAGCAGGAATGGGGCTAGGTGCTTCCTCCCCTGGGGACTTCACCTGCTCTCCCTCCTGGGATAAGACGGCAGCCTCCTCCTTGGGGGCAGCAGCATTCAGTCCTCCAGGTCTCCTGGGGGTCGTGACCTGCAGGAGGAATAAGAGGGCAGACTGGGCAGAAAGGCCTTCAGAGCACCTCATCCTCCTGTTCTCACACTGGGGTGTCACAGTCCTGGGAAGTTCTTCCTTTTCAGTTGAGCTGTGGTAACCTTGTGAGTTTCCTGGAGGGGGCCTGCCACTACCCTTGGGACTCCCTGCCGTGTGTCTGGGTCTAACTGAGCTCTGAAAGGAGAGAGCCCCAGCCCTGGGCCTTCCAGGGGAAGCCTTACCTCAGAGGTTGGCTTCTTCCTACTCTTGACTTTGCGTCTCTGCAGAGGGAGGTGGGAGGGGTGACACAACCCTGACACCCACACTATGAGTGATGAGTAGTCCTGCCCCGACTGGCCCATCCTTTCCAGGTGCAGTCCCCCTTACTGTGTCTGCCAAGGGTGCCAGCACAGCCGCCCCACTCCAGGGGAAGAGGAGTGCCAGCCCTTACCCACCTGAGTGGGCACAGTGTAGCATTTATTCATTAGCCCCCACACTGGCCTGACCATCTCCCCTGTGGGCTGCATGACAAGGAGAGAGAACAGGCTGAGGTGAGAGCTACTGTCAACACCTAAACCTAAAAAATCTATAATTGGGCTGGGCAGGGTGGCTCACGCCTGTAATCCCAGCACTTTGGGAGGCCGAGATGGGTGGATCACCTGAGGTCAGATGTTCGAGACCAGCCTGGCCAACATGGTGAAACCCCGTCTCTACTAAAAATACAAAAAATTAGCTGGGCGTGGTGGTGGGTGCCTGTAATCCCAGCTACTCAGGAGGCTGAGGCAGGAGAATTGCTTGAACCTGGGAGGCAGAGGCTGCAGTGAGCCGAGATCGCATCATTGCACTCCAGCCTGGTCAACAAGAGTGAAACTGTCTTAAAAAAAAAATCTATAATTGATATCTTTAGAAAGATAAAACTTTGCATTCATGAAATAAGAATAGGAGGGTCTAAAATAAAAATGTTCAAACACCCACCACCACTAATTCTTGACAAAAATATAGTCTGGGTGCCTTAGCTCATGCCTGTAATCCCAGCATTTTGGGAGGCTAAGGCAGGAGGATTGTTTGAGCCTAGGAATTCAACACCAGCCTGGGCCACCTAAGGAGACCCCATCTCTACAAAAAATTAAAATACTGGCTGGGTGTGGTGGCACACACCTGTAGTTCCAGCTGCTTGGGAGGCTGAGGTGGGAGGATCACTTGAGTCCAGGAACAAAGCTGCAGTGAACTGTGATCGTGCCACTGCACTCCAGCCTGGGCAACAGAGAAAGACCTTGCCTTAAAAATAAAAAATATAATAATAGGAATGCAAAATCTAATCAAAGTATAGAAGCTAAACTTGAAAAAAATATTTTCCAGAAAGAACAGAGAAGAGGTCAGGAGCTCCAACAGCTAAATTGTTGTTTAGATGTTTCTGAAACAGGCAGCAGAGACAACAGACTAGGAGGCAAGGAAAGATGTCTAATAAATACGTTTCTTTTTTGTCAAGACAAGTTCTCACAGAGGAAGAACATGAGTTTCCAGTAGAGAAGGAAACACCAAGTGTTCATGACAATGAATGAAGGGGACCCAGCCCCAATTTTGTTGTCAAGAAATTTCACAACACTGAGGACAGAGTGGAACCCAAAAACTTCCAGAGAGAAAAAAGTCTGAGCTTCAGGAATTCAATATTCATCAGACTTCTCAACACCAACCTTTGAAGCTATAAGATAATGAAGACCTTCAAAATCTGAGAGAAAATATTTCCAATCTAGAATTCTATACCTAGCCAAATGCTATGCAAGTATGAATTGAGGTCTTTTCGGATACATAAATGTCTCAAGACTACCCCTCAGGAAGCAACCGGAGGTTGTACTTCACTAAAATAAAGGAGAAATAGAAAAGAAGATAACATGGGACCCAGCACAACAGGCAGGGAGAGCCCCTGAGCATAAGGGTGAATGGGGAGCTCAGGAGGACAGCTGGGCAGCAGACCTCCAGGGTGCCCCATCCAGATGGAATCAGGGAGATGGAGGGCTCCTGAGGTATGTCTCCATGAAAATGATCATATGGAGAAATGACGTGATCTGTCTAAATGTACTGCAAAGAGATTTCTATTTTTGGCAGAAAATTTGGATGAATTAATTATATAATAGATGCACAAAAAACTAAAGAAAGAGAAGAAGAAAAACTAAAATCATGACTCAACTGGGACTACTGTCTACATTTTTTGTTTTGAGAAAGAGTCTTGCTCTGTTGCCCAGACTGGAGTGCAGTGATCACGTTTCATTGCAGCCTCCACAACCTGTGCTCAAGTAAGTGACTCTCTTACCTCAGCCTCCTTAGTAGCTGGGATCACAGGGCACCACCACACTCAGCTAATTTTTTTTTTTAAATAGACAGTGTCTCCCAATGTTGTCCAGGCTGGTCTCGAAGTCCTGGACTCAAGCGATCCTCCCATGTTGACCTCTCAAGTAGTTGGGATTACAGTCATGAGCCACTGTGCCTGACCTAGCTAATTTTTTTCTGATTTATTTATTTATTTTTTGTACAGAGTCTCACTATGTTGACCAGGCTGGCCTGGAACTTCTGAGCTCAAGTGATCCTCCTGCCTTCGCCTCCCAAAGTGCAGAGATTATAGGTGTAAACTATCACGCCTGGCCTGTTTACATAGTTTAATAATGTAAATCTTCAATACCGATCTAATAAAAATTGAAATATGCCTTTTAGAATGGCTTTCAAAGATAACAAATGCTGGAGAGGATGTAGAACAACTGGAACCTCTCGGTTATTGCTGGTGAGACAGCCGCTTTGAAAAAGTTTGAGTTTCTTACAAAATTAAACTTACACTTACACTTACCATATGACCCAAAAATTCCACTGCTTGCTCTTTACTCAAGTATAAGGAAAATCTATGTACACACAAAACTTGTACGTGAATATTTATTAATAGTCATTTTATGCCCCAAACTAGAAATAGTCCAAATGTTCTGGAACATCCATACAACGGACCACCACTCAATAAAAGGAACAAACTACGGATACACGTGACTAGATGAATCTCAAATGCTTTGTGCTAAGTAAAATAAACCAGACTGAAAAGGCTACCATACGTTTCCATTTATATGACAATCTTGCAAAGTCAAAACCACAGGAACAGGAAACTGTTCACTGATTGCCAGGGTGTGGGAGTAGGAGGAAGGGCTGACTACAGGTGACTATGGAGGATTTTTTTTTTTCTGAGACGGAGTCTCTGTCGCCCAGGCTGGAGTGTACTGGCACGATCTCGGCTCACTGCAACATCCACCTCCTGGGTTTAAGGTATTTTTAGTAGAGACGGGGTTTCACTATGTTGGCCAGGCTGGTCTCAAACTCCTGACCTCAGGTGATCCACCCGCTTCGGCCTCCCAAAGTGCTGGGATTATAGGCGTGAGCCACCGAGGCCAGCCACTTTTTTTTTTTTTTAAAGACAGAGTCTTGCTGTGTCACTCAGGCTGGAGTGCAGTGGCGTGATCCCAGCTCACTGCAGCCTTAACATCCTGCACTCAAGTGATCCTTCTACCTCAGCTTCCTGAGTAGCTGGGACCACAGGCACACCTCACCACACCCAGCTAATTTTTAATTTTTTTGTAGAGACAGGGTCTATGTTGCCCAGGCTGGTCTTGAACTCCTGGGCTCCACCAATCCTGCCTTGCCCTCCTCACAGTGCCCGGCCCTTAGATTCTCTCTTTAACCTCTAACTCCACCCCGTCTTCCTCACTTTCAGCAGAGAGCATAGGCACCATCAGATGGGCATTTCCTCAACTTGCTGCCACCAAACCCATTCACTCACCGGCTTCTCATAGGCCATTTCCTCTTCCAGGGGATGAGGGGAGGAGGCTCCCCTCCCTCTCCAAAGCTAGCCCTACTCCTGTGCCCCATTTCATCTGGTCTTCTCACCTGGGCATTTGGAGATCTCGTCTCACCTCAATATTCTCCTTTTCCTTTTTTCTGGCTCCTTCCATCAGCATCTAAACACATTGCTGATCTCTTCTATTAAAAAGAAAAAAGCCCTTCTCCCTTGAACCCATATTCCTTCTCCAGCTAGCGTCCTGACCCCTACCCTTCACACCAGTCTCCTGAGAGCGGTGTTGGCAGGGGGGTGTGTTTACTGCTTTCTACCTCTCCCGCGCTCCACAACCCACTTCAACCTGCATCTGTCTCCATAAGCCTCTGAAACCCCTCTCACTGAGGTCACCAGTACGCTCCTAGTCACCAAACCCAGATGACTCTTTCCTTTTTTTCTTTTTTTTTTTTTTTTTGAGACGGAGTCTCGCTCTGTCGCCCAGGCTGGAGTGCAGTGGCGTGATCTCGGCTCACTGCAAGCTCCGCCTCCCGGGTTCACACCATTCTCTTGCTTCAGCCTCCCGAGTAGCTGAGACTACAGGCGGCCCGCCACGAGGCCCAGCTAATTTTTTTGTATTTACTAGCAGAGGCGGGGTTTCCCCATGTTAGCCAGGATGGTCCTGATCTCCTGACCTCGTGATCCGCCTGCCTCGGTCTTCCAAAGTGCTGGGATTACAGGCATGAGCCACTGCACCCGGCCCCAGCTGACCCTTTCTTTAACGACCTCGCCTTTTCTCTTGGCTGCTTGACCTCTCATGCTCTGGTTTTCCTCCTGCCTCCCACTCCTCTCTCTCTCTATCTCTCAGTCTCTATCTCTGTCTCTCTTTCTGTCTCTGCCTCTCTCAGTCTCTATTTCTGTCTCTGCCTCTCTCAGTCTCTATTTCTGTCTCTGCCTCTCTCTGTGTATCTCTATCTGTCTCTCTCTCTGTATCTCTGTCTCTCTCTGTATCTCTAGCTCTGTCTCTATCTCTGTCTCTGTCTCTGTCTATCTCTCTGTATCTCTAACTCTGTCTCTGTATCTGTTTCTGTCTCTCTATCTCTCTTTGTCTCTCTGTCTCTCTCTGCCTAAATCTCAGTGTCAAGTGTTGCTCCATGTCCTGCTGACGACAAAGACTCTGAACTTCCACCTCAGACACTCACTTCTAGGCCTTTGCATGTGCTGTTATCTACCTAGAATGTGTTTCTCCATGGCTTTCAGGAGGGCTCCCCTGACTACCTGAGTTCACGTGGGGTGGCCCTCCTCAGTGCTCTTAGGGTACTGTACTGTCCCCTGACTGAGGGACCACTTTAGGTCCGTCCACTGTCAAACCCCCAGTAGCTGCCCCTATGCGTGGGACACAGCAAGAGCTAAGTAACCAAATGAATGATTACATGGCTGTGGTTCATCCTAGTGCTTAAAGCCATGATCAGAGTTGAAAAGTTGCTGTATCTTATTCAGATTTCTACTAGCAACATATTCAATAGTAAGCTTTGTTAGTCATCTATAACCCGGTGTAAGTGAAGTTATCAGGTCTTTTTCTGGGAGGAGGTTTAGAGGAGGAAAGGAGAGAGAATGAGTCCTAAAGGAGAGAAGAGGAGTAGAAGGGGCATGTCAAGTAGAAAAGGATGTAGAAAAGGTAGGCTTGGGGTAAAAAGATAATTTTCACCTGCTTGGGTGGTTTATTGAGGGCAGCCTTTTAGGCCTGCTTACCAAAGAGGCCAGTCTTGATGACGCTAGAAATTTGCAGATAATCCTTTTACCATATCAGTGTCAGGCAGCTTATCCACCTCCTCTTGGGCTCTATGACCAAACCCAAGAAGAGCACTGAGGCCCAGCTAAGTCTGGGAGTTCAGTGCACAGGCCCCCCCTTTCGCACAGAGAGTGGTGTCTATGTGTGACATCGTGTCTTAGGGGGGCTTTATGACAGGACAACCTCTTCAACCTTGGCCAGAACAGCTTGTCAAATGCCTCGGGGTGGCTTTAAATCCCCAGTAGTGAGAGACAGCCCCTTTGTACATATCTCATTGTTTCAATTCAGCACAAACAGTGCTGACTGAGCAGCTACAATGTGCCAAGCTCTGTGTGAAGACCCATAGAGACACAAAGATGCAAAAGTGTGTAAGACTCAGTATTTTTTTTTTGTCTTTAAGACTGAGTCTTGATCTGTTGCCCAGGCTGGAGTGCAGTGGCATGATCATGGCTCACTGCAACCTCCACCTCTCAGGTTCAAGAGATTCTCATGCCTCAGGCTACCGAGTGGCTGGGATTACAGGTGTGCATCACCATGCCCAGCTAATTTTTTTGTATTTTTAGTAAAGACAGGGTCTTGTCATGTTGGCCAGGCTGGTCTCAAACTCCTGGCGTCAAGTGATCCACCCGCCTCGGCCTCCCAAAGTATTGAGATTACAGGCGTAAGCCACTGCACCCAGCCAAGACTCAGTCTTACTGCATAACACAATAAGCATATTTTCTAAATCCAAAACAAGAACACAGCCTAACAATTGAATGTCATCTATTCATTCATTCAACCAGTGTCTGCTGAGCTTCCATTTTGGTCCAAGCATTATGCTGAGAGGATCAAAGGTAAACAGGACATACAGCCTACCCTTGAGGAGCTCAAAGACTTCAAACAGACATTTTATGGTTCAAGACAATAACTTCTACCTTCCTGCAAATTTCTGTAAATGTAACAATAATTACAAATCTATGGGTGGTTGAAACTGAGGGATGGATGCCTCAGTTTCACATACACATGAAACATTCACCAAGATAGGCCATATTCTGGACCACGAAACAAATCTCAATGGATTTTAAATTTATTTCAAGTATGTCCTTCAAACACTGTGGAATTAAAAATTACAAATCAGTAACAGATTCCCAGAAAGAGTCTGAGCTCAGACTCACCTAACCCTGCCCCAACCTGACAGTATTTCTCTACCCGCCCTGGTAGCTGATCACAAAAGCCATAAACTCTTGGGAGCTTTATGGCCCTGTCCATCACCTGAGAAATCCTAATACTTATCCTGGCCAACTTAGGGCAAGCTTATATCCCCCTTCCAGTATTGCAGCTGGTGTTCTCTTGAAAGCGCCACCTCCTGGCTGGAGGCCAACCAAGTCAGGACATTACAGCAACTCACAACAGAATAACCCTGCTCCAAGAAATGAGAAACAGCTAATTCCACTGCTTTCAACATCCTGGCTAACCAGAGCTCCTGAGTCTGTCCACGTGACAACTTCACTGCTAGCATAACCAGCATTTGAGAAAGCCAGCACAGTAAACAAAACTACAAGCAAGGACTCTCACACTCACAGTCTACTTTACTCCCCTCCCACCTCCACCAGGGCAGGTGCTGGTGTCCATGGCCAGGAGAGCTAAAGACGGATCACATCACAGGACTCTTTGCAGACATTCCTCAGCACCAGCCTGGAACCTGGTAGCCCCACTGGGTGGCTGGACCCAGAAGAGCAATAGCAATCACTACAGTCTGGCTCTCACGAAGCTCCATCCCTAGGGGAAGTGAGAATGCATCACATCAAGGGGTCACTTTGTGGGACAAAAGAATCTGAACAGTAGCCCCTGAGTTCCAGATTTTTCCCCTGAAATAGTCTACCCAAGTGAGAAGAAATCAGAAAAATTGTAATATGACAAAACAAGGTTCTATAACACCTCCAAAAGACCATACTGGCTCCCCAGCAATGAATGCAAATCAAGAAGAAATCTCTGAATTGCCAGATAAACAATTCAGATGGTTGATTATTAAACTACTCAAGGAGAGACCAGAGAAAAGTGAAAACAAAGAAATGTAAAAAACAATACAGGCTATGGATTGGCCAGGCGCAGTGGCTCACACCTGTAAACCCAGCACTTTGGAAGGCTGAGGCGGGCTGATCACTTGAGGTCAGGAGTTTCAGACCAGCCTGGCCAACACAGTGAAACCCCATCTCTACTAAAAATACAAAAATCAGCCAGGCATGGTGGTGCGTGCCTGTAATACCAGCTATTTGGGAGACTGAGGCAGGGGGATTGCGTGAACCCAGGAGCCAGAGGTTGCAGTGAGCTGAGATTGCACCACTGCACTGTGAGCAACAGAGTGCTCAGAGTCTCAAAAAGGAAAGAAAGAAAGAAAGAAAAAGACAACAAAAAAAATACAGGCTATGGATGAAAAATTCTCCAGAGAAACAGATATTATAAAGAAAAAAAAATCACAATTTCTGCAAATGGAAGACACACTTAAAGAAATAAAAAATGCACTGGAAAGTGTCAACAACAGACTAGAACAAGTATGTAGGATACAATAAAATTCCTCTTCAAAGGTTTAGCCTGTTAACTTCCTTGTTCTTTGTTCTCAAACTCAACTTTCTTGTTCTCTATGCCTCCTTGCCCCTAGTTACTGTAACTGTAAACAACCTTCCTGTCAGTTCTAATCAATAACTCACATCTGTTCCCTTGGTTACCCACTCTTCACCCCTTCCTCCCTTCGAAACCGCACGTCCCACCACTGTAACTCACATTTCCCTTCCCTTCCTTATTTGGGAAAGTATTCACAAATAGCCAGTCGGGTCAGTTTAGATTGTGCAGTCCAACCACAGCCCATGAAGGAGTGACACAGAGGGAGGGATTGCATTAGGAATAAAAACCCCTGCTTTCCTTTGTTCAGTGTGCTCTTGCAATCGTGATTGACACAAGCAGCACCCTTCTGCAGAAGTAAACTGCCTTGCTGAGAAAACTTTCGCCTCAGTGCTGGTTTCACTTTGCAGCACTGAGCATTTATCTCCAACAAATCTGGGGCTCATCCAGGATTCCCATTCTCCTCCAGGGAAGGGGTCTCTGGTCACCTCTCATAAGGAGACGCATCCCACTGCCTCGTTGCGGTGGCCTCAGGGTGAGGGATCGGAACCCACCCGGTGTGACGAATAAATCCGGACTCTCAGCAATGTGGGGAAAAAAAGGCTTGCAACACCATGGTGACCAGGTAACTTTGTGCACAGACCAAGGTAAGAAACGTCACAGGGGTGACAAAGCATTTCCTTGGTGGTCAAGATATTCTGGAGATTGAAAGTGTGTATGAATGATCACAAGCATTACTGCTTGCGGTGCTGCTTGTGTGAATGGTACTAAGCACTACTGCTGTGCGGAATGAGTGTGTCCTATCTGAGGTTCCATGGTCACCTCATATGGCTTAGGACAGATCCTGCCATGGGGTTTATATGGGCGTGCCAAAGGTAAGAGGGACCTAAATTCCCCTCCGGGAAGCGACCAGAGTGGACGAAGCAAAAGAAGGGTGCAAGGAGCCTCCAGCAGGTGGGGCTAAAGGATAGAAATCTCTAGTATGAGGAATTGAGCCTCAATAAGCCTCCAGAAAAGGAGAGGCAAGAAATCTCTAATACGAGGGATTGAGCCTCAGCAAGCCTCCAGAAAAGGATAGGCAAGAAATCTCTAATATGAGGGACTGAGCCTAACTAGGACCCAACATGGGAAACACCCCAAGCAGGACACGGAGTAAAAAGGATAAAGACAGCAATAAAGATATTCCTGCTGTTAGTCCCCTAGGTCTCATGTTAAAATATTGGAAAGATAATGAGAGAACTAAACATAAGAAAAAGCAACAAATGACAAACAATTGCTGTTTTATTTGGACTCAGGGACCCATCCTCAAACCCTCAATCTTTTGGTCAAAGTTTGGGTTGAACAAGGATGTGATGTGTCAACTTCTAATTCAATATGTAAATGATAAAAGTCCAGTTTCTCAAGAAGAATTGGCCTATGCTCTTTGTTGGAGGCAGGGACCTGTCCTCCTCTTTCCCTTAAAGACAACTAGGGAAAAACCCAATCTAGCACCTCAAACTGAAGAGTGAGAAAAGCCAGTCCCCATGCCTAAAGACTCCAGCACATGGGATCCTCTAAACCATCTTCCCCCACGCTCAGTGCCCCTAACCCTTCCCCTCAGGTAGCAGCTGCTGTCCCCGTTCCTGCTCCAGATCCTTCTCCTGCTCATGTTATTCCTCCTCCTTACAATCCTGATTCTTGGGAATCACCATCCCATTAGCCTGTTCCTTCTCAGCCTAAGTACCCCTCCCTAAAAGGACTCCAACGTGAGGTAGAACAATGTAAAAAAGATATCCAAAATTTCCCATTTCCCTCCACATCTATGGAGTCAGCCCCAACTCTCTTCCCCTTAAAAGAGGTGCCACAAGGACAGGGGGGCTATTAATTTTGTGAATGCTCCCTTAACCAGTTCAGAGGTCTGAAGTTTGAAGAAGGAACTTAAGCCGTTATTGGATGACCTTATTGGGTAACAGATCAGGTTGATCAATTCTTAGGACCTCAGTTATACACTTGGGTGGAGTTAATGTCCATCCTAGGCGTCCTCTTTTCTTTTTTTTTTTTTTTTTTTTTGAGACGGAGTCTCGCTCTGTCGCCCAGGCGGGACTGCGGACTGCAGTGGCGCAATCTCGGCTCACTGCAAGCTCCGCTTCCCGGGTTCACGCCATTCTCCTGCCTCAGCCTCCCGAGTAGCTGGGACTACAGGCGCCCGCCACTGCGCCCGGCTAATTTTTTTTGTATTTTTAGTAGAGACGGGGTTTCACCTTGTTAGCCAGGATGGTCTCGATCTCCTGACCTCATGATCCACCCGCCTCGGCCTCCCAAAGTGCTGGGATTACAGGCGTGAGCCACCGCGCCCGGCCTGCGTCCTCTTTTCAGGGGAGGAAAGAAGCATGATCTGTAGGGCTGCTATGGCAATTTGGGAACACGAACACCCTCCTGGTCAAACATTCCTACCGCAGATCAAAAGTTTCCCACCCAAGACCCCCGGTGGGACGATATTAATGCAGCTCACTGGGAAAATATGCAAGACCTAAGGGAAATGATAATAAAGGGAATTAGGGAATCAGTACCCTGAACCCAAAACCTCTCTAAAGCATTTGATATACAATAGGAAAAAGATGAGGGGGCCTATGAAATTTCTAGACAAGAATAAAGGACCAAACAAGACAATATGCAGGCCTAAATTTGGAAGATCTCCTTGGACAGGGAGTGTTAAAGCTCCATTTTGTCACTACAAGTTGGCCAGATATTTCAAAAAAGTTACAAAAATTAGAAGACTGGGAAAACCAACCTCTAAGTGAACTTCTGGGAGAAGCTCAAAAAATATATGTGAGGAAAGAAGCAAAAACAAAAGGCAAAAACTCACGTTATCCACTTTCCAGCAGGTGGCCCCACACCCACATGCTTCTAAACAAAGCTTCCAGGGGGCCAGAAACGATAGACGGTCCAGACCCTCATTTATGCTTCTAAACAAAGCTTCCAGGGGGCCAGAAACTATAAAAGGTCCAGACCCTCGTTTATGCTTCTAAACAAAGCTTCCAGGGGGCCAGAAACTATAAAAGGTCCAGACCCTCATTTATGCTTCTAAACAAAGCTTCCAGGGGGCCAGAAACTATAAAAGGTCCAGACCCTCGTTTATGCTTCTAAACAAAGCTTCCAGGGGGCCAGAAACTATAAAAGGTCCAGACCCTCGTTTATGCTTCTAAACAAAGCTTCCAGGGGGCCAGAAACTATAAAAGGTCCAGACCCTCGTTTATGCTTCTAAACAAAGCTTCCAGGGGGCCAGAAACTATAAACGGTCCGTCCAGACCGTTTGAAGGGCAGGCCACTTCAAAAGAGAATGTCCCAAACTGGAAAAGGAGAAAGAAGCCCTTCAACTCATGACTTTTGAGGAAGAACAGGGGGGTCAGGGGCTCTGTTTATCTCGAGTCCCACCAGGAGCCCTTGATAAATTTACAGGTGGGAACCAAACATGAGCTTATCACCTTTTAGTCAATTCAGGAGTGGCTCGCTCCTCCATTTGCTTCCCCCCATCCAACATTGCCTGCTCTTCAGAAGAACTTTTAGTCTCTGGGGTAAAAGGAGAAGGATTTAAAGCAAAAATCTTAGAAAGTACAGAAGTTAAATACCAAGATCGGCTGACTCATATCCAATTTTTGTTGATCCCTGAGGCAGAAACTAATCTATTAGGAAGAGACTTAATGCTAGAATTAGGCACAGGCTTACAAGTTGGTCCTAAAGGATTCTTTACCTCATTAAACCTACTCACCACCACAGATGAAAAATGCATTAATCCTAGTGTCTGGTCAAGGGAAGGAAACCGGGAGAAACTCTGAATCCCTCCAATCCACATCAAGTTAAGAATCCCCAGGGAAGTAGTAAGGAGGAAACAATACCCCAAACCCCTAGAGGGCAGGATAGGATTAAAGCCTATAATTGAAAGTCTTATTAAAGATGGGCTCCTTGAACCCTGTATGTCCCCGTATAACACTCCAATATTGCCAGTCAAGAAATTAGATGCGTCATACCGACTTGGTACAAGATCTTAGAGCCATCAAATAGTCCAAACTAACCATCCTGTTGTCCCCAACCCATACACCATTCTCAGCAAAATTCCAAAAAACCATCAGTTGTTTACAGTAATAGATTTAAAAGATGCCTTCTGGGCATGCCCCTTGGCTGAAGACAGCTGAGACATATTTGCTTTTGAGTGGTAGGATCCCCATTCAGGGCGAAAACAACATTATTGATGGACAGTTTTACCTCAAGGGTTTACAGACTCTCCAAACCTTTTTGGTCAAATTTTAGAACAAGTGTTAGAAAAAGTTGTCATCCCAAAGCAAATATGCCTGCTCCAGTACATGGATGATATTCTCGTATCTGTTGAAGATGTAGAGAAAGTAGCTGGCTTCTCTACACATATCCTTAACCATCTGGAGTTCGAGGGGTTATGGTTCTTAAAGGGAAAGCTTCAGTATGTGGAGCCTGAAGTTAAATATTTAGGCCACTTAATAAGTGCAGGTAAGCAAAGGATAGGACCTGAACGAGTTGAAGGCATCGTGTCCTTACCCTTGCCTCAAACTAAGCAATAACTCAGAAAATTTCTAGGATTAGTTGGATATTGATGCTTATGGATTGACTCATATGCCCTAAAAAGTAAACTTTTATATGAAAAGCTTACCCAGTGGAAACTGGACCGTCTCCTGTGGACTTCTGAGGAAGTCAATCAGGTTGAAGAGCTGAAATACAAACTCATAACTGCCCCTGTCTTAGCCTTAGCTTCCCTAGAAAAGCCATTTCATCTTTTTGTTAATGTAAATAACGGGGTAGCTTTAGGGGTTCTTACTCAAGAACATGGTGGTCACCGGCAGCCCGTAGCCTTCCTATCAAAAATTTTAGACCCAGTCACCTGTGGGTAGCCTCAGTGCATCCAATTCGTTGCAGCTACAGCAGTATTAGTTGAAGAAAGTAGAAAATTAATCTTTGGGGGGAAATTGACTGTAAGCACACCCCACCAAGTTAGAGCTATTTTAAATAAAAAAGCAGGAAGGTGGCTCACTGACTCCAGAATCTTAAAATAGGAGGCTATTTTACTAAAAAGATGATTTAACCTTGACTACTGATAACTCACTCAATCCGAGAGGTTTCTTAACAGGGGACCCAAATCTAAAAAGAGAACACTTATGTCTAGATCTAACTGACTACCAAACAAAGGTCAGGCCGGATCTAAGAGAGACCCCTTTCAAAATGGGGTGACACTTATTTATAGATGGTTGATCCCAAGCAATTAAAGGAGAAAAATACAATGGGTATTCAGTAATTGATGGAGAAACTCTTGAAGAAACAGAGTCAGGAAGGTTGCCCAATAGTTGGTCTGCCAAAGCATGTGAACTATTTGCACTCAGCCAGGTTTTAAAACACTTACAGAGCAAGGAAGGAACTATTCATACTGATTCTAAATACATTTTTGGAGTAGCTCATATATTTGGAAAAATTTGGGCTGAGCAAGGTCTTATTAATACTAAAGGCCAGGCCAGGCGCGGTGGCTCATGCCTGTAATCCCAGCACTTTGGGAGGCTGAGGTGGGCGGATCACGAGGTCAGGAGATCAAGACCATCCTGGCTAACATGGTGAAACCCCGTCTCTACTAAAAATACAAAAAAATTAGCCAGGTGTGGTAGCGGGATCCTGTAGTCCCAGCTACTCAGGAGGCTGAGGCAGGAGAATGGCGTGAACCCGGGAGGTGGAACTTGCAATGAGCTGAGATCGTGCCACTGCACTCCAGCCTGGGTGACAGAGCAAGACTCCGTCTCAAAAAAACACCAAAAAACAAAAAAAAACTAAAGGCCAAAATATCTTACCCACGAGGAGCTAATCGTCCATGTTTTAAACAATCTCCAGTTGCCAGAAGAAATAGCCATTGTACATGTCCCCGGACACCAAAACGACTTTTCCTTTACAAGTCAGGGAAATAACCTTGCAGATCAAGTGGCTAAACAGGCTGCCATTTCATCTGAAACACCTTTCACTTAACCCCTCGTCTTCCTCCCCCTGCTGCAACCCCTACCTTGTCTGCTGCAGAAAAGGAAAAATTAATAAAAATGGAGCCAAAGAAAACTCAGAAGGAAAATGGGTGTTACCAGATCAAAGAGAAATGCTATTCAAACCGCTCATGAGAGAAATCCTACCCACCTGCATCAAGGGACACACTGGGGACCCCAAGCCATGTGTGACACAGTTCTCAGGGTTTATGGGTATATACCCTAGCCAAACAGGTTATGGATAGTTGCTTAACATGTAAGGAAACCAACAAACAAGTTATAAAGAAATCATCCCTGGGCGGGGAGGGATTCAGGGCTAAGACCATTCCAAAGTGTTCAAACTGATTACATTGAAATGCCCCCAATCGGTTGCCTAAAGTACTTAGTAATAGCAGATCACCTCACTCACTGGGTCGAAGCTATTCCCTTTTCAAATGCAATGGCCAATCATGTAGTTAAAGCATTAATTGAAAATATAGTGCCCAGGTTTGGGCTAATAGAAAATATTGACTCAGACAGTGAAACCTATTTCATAGCACATATCATTAAAAAGCTATCCTAAGCGCTAGACATTAGATGGAAATATCATACTCCTTGGCACCCACCTTCATCAGGGAGAGTAGAAAGGATGAATCAGACCTTAAAGAACCATTTAACCAAGTTAGTTCTATAGATTCGGTTGCCAGGGATCAAATATCTTCCTATTGCCCTGTTAAGAATCCAAACGGCGGTTCCACCGCTGTCGCCGCCGTAGTGCGGCATGCCGCTCGGCGGAGGGGCCGGGCCTGCGTTCTCTCCTCCTTCCTCCCCGCCTCTGGCTGCCGGCAGGACCTTTCTCTCGCTGCTACTGGGACCCCGTGTCATAGCCCAGGCTGAGCACGATGCCCCCTCAAAAGGGAGGTGATGGAATTAAACCACCCCCAATCATTGGAAGATTTGGAACCTCACTGAAAATTGGTATTGTTGGATTGCCAAATGTTGGGAAATCTACTTTCTTCAATGTATTAACCAATAGTCAGGCTTCAGCAGAAAACTTCCCATTCTGCACTATTGATCCTAATGAGAGCAGAGTACCTGTGCCAGATGAAAGGTTTGACTTTCTTTGCCAATATCACAAACCAGCAAGCAAAATTCCTGCCTTTCTAAATGTAGTGGATATTGCTGGCCTTGTGAAAGGAGCTCACAATGGGCAGGGCCTGGGGAATGCTTTTTTATCTCATTTTAGTGCTTGTGATGGCATCTTTCATCTAACACGTGCTTTTGAAGATGATGATATCACACATGTTGAAGAAAGTGTAGATCCTATTCGAGATATAGAAATAATACATGAAGAGCTTCAGCTTAAAGATGAGGAATGACTGGGCCCATTATAGATAAACTAGAAAAGGTGGCTGTGAGAGGAGGAGATAAAAAACTAAAACCCAAATATGATATAATGTGCAAAGTAAAATCCTGGGTTATAGATCAAAAGAACCTGTTCGCTTCTATCATGATTGGAATGACAAAGAGATTGAAGTGTTGAATAAACACTTATTTTTGACTTCAAAACCAATGGTCTACTTGGTTAATCTTTCTGAAAAAGACTACATTAGAAAGAAAAACAAATGGCTGATAAAAATTAAAGAGTGGGTGGACAAGTATGACCCAGGTGCCTTGGTCATTCCTTTTAGTGGGGCCTTGGAACTCAAGTTGCAAGAATTGAGTGCTGAGGAGAGACAGCAGTATCTGGAAGCGAACATGACACAAAGTGCTTTGCCAAAGATCATTAAGGCTGGGTTTGCAGCACTCCAACTAAAATACTTTTTCACTGCAGGCCCAGATGAAGTGCGTGCACGGACCATCAGGAAAGGGACTAAGGCTCCTCAGGCTGCAGGAAAGATTCACACAGATTTTGAAAAGGGATTCATTATGGCTGAAGTAATGAAATATGAAGATTTTAAAGAGGAAGGTTCTGAAAATGCAGTCAAGGCTGCTGGAAAGTACAGACAACAAGGCAGAAATTATATTGTTGAAGATGGAGATATTATCTTCTTCAAATTTAACACACCTTAACAACTGAAGAAGAAATAAAATTTAGTTACTGCTCAGATAAACATACAACTTCCAAAAGGCATCTGATTTTTTAAAAATTAAAATTTCTGAAAACCAATGGGACAAATAAAGTTGGGGAGATGGGAATCTTTGACAAACAAATTATTTTTGTTTTAAAATTAAAATACTGTGTACCCTCTCCCCCCAATGAAATGCAAGTTCACTAAATGTGAACACCTTTGCTTTTCATGTGATTAAGACCCTACTCCAAATTATAGAAGCTTTTCAAGAACCATGTTACTCTCATGATACTTCATTAATCTCCATCATGTATGCCAAGCCTAACACATTTGACAGTGAGAACAATGTGGCTTGCTCCTTTTTGAATCTACAGATAATGCATGTTTTATAGTACTCCAGATGTCTACACTCAATAAAACATTTGACAAAACCAAATAAAAAAAAAAGAATCCAAACTGCTCCTCGAAAAGATACTGGCCTTTCCCCTTACAAGATGCTCTATGGATTGCCTTATTTACACTCCACTGCTGATGTTCCAAAAACACCAGTTCCTCAGGAATTATATTCTTAGTCTCTCCCCTACTTTCTCTTTTCTTAAAACCAAAGGTCTCCTAGCACAGGCTCTGCCTCTGGAGTTCCCAGTACATCAACATCAGCCTGGGGATCACGTCCTTATCAAGAGCTGAAAAGAGGAGAAACTTGAGCCAGCCTGGGAAGGACCTTACCTGGTGCTTCTAACCACTGAAACTGCAGTCCGGACAGCAGAAAAAGGATAGACCCATCACACCTGAGTCAAGAAAGCACTGTCACCTCCAGAGTCATGGGCCATTATCCCAGGGGAAAACCCCCTCAAACTAAAGCTAAGAAAAGTTTAACTCTCTTTCGTCTACTCTATTACTCTTTCTTCTTTCCTCATTCTGTTGCTGACCACCTTGTTATCAATGTGACTAAATCAAACTCACCCCAAGTTATTATGTTTGATGCCTGTTTAGTCATACCCTGTAGAGATCTCCAAAGTCAAAGGCAACTCTCAGCCTTAGAAAAGTATCTCTGCCACTTTAAAATAAAAGGCTCCCGCTACCAAGACTCTTGCTCCTCATAAAATATAGGGAAACAGGTCTGCCATAGCTGGAATGATGTTCTGTGGACAACTGAGTATCAAGGCTGGACCTCATCAACATGTGGCTGTATATACTTAAAATCATACATTCACTTTACTAAAGGAAGCACCCCTCCCCTCGATTTTCAGTATAACCAGTGTAATCCAGTGCAGATTTCTACTCTCACTCCGGCCTCTACCGACCCTCTAGACCTACTTTGAGTCGCTTCTATGGCATAGGGACCAACGCGGCACAGACCTCATAGGGTCTTTTGAAATGCGTTTTATTAATCCCTCATCCTCTTCACCCTCTTCCCTCTCTTCTCCTTCTAAGCCTTCTTCTAATCAGACTGCCATACCTTCTATACCCAATGATAAGACTAAAGTAGATATTGTAGAAGTAAATGATCTAAGGCAAACTTTAGCAATTGAAACAAAATATCAAGATGCAAATGCCTGGTTGGAATGGACCAAATATTCTGTCCGCACATGAAACAAAAGCAATTGTTATGCTTGTGCTCACGGCCAGCCAGAGACCCAGATAGACCCCTTTACACTCGGCTGGTCCCCCAGTCAACCAGGCATGGGCAGCATGGTAGCTCTCTTCCAGGATTCCATAGCTTGGGGCAATCAATCATGCCAAGCTCTCTCTTTGCTCTATCCCAAAGTTCAATATCCTGCGGGTCAGCCCCAGAGGGCCATCCAGCTTCTGGCTCCCAATGTCAATTTCACGTCCTGTCTCTCACGACAAGGGGAAAACTTGGTGTTCCTTGGAAGCTTAACAGGATGCAGTGAGCTTAAGCCTTTCCAAGAGCTTACCCATCAGTCTGCCCTTAGTCATCCTCAAGAAGATGTATGGTGGTATTGTGGCGGACCCTTACTGGACACTCTGCCAAGTAACTGGAGTGGTACCTGCACTCTTGTCCATTTGGCTATCCCTTTCACCCTGGCGTTTCATCAGCCAGAAAAAGAAAAGCCACAACACCATAAAATAAGAGAAGCCCCTTATAGGTTTTTTGACTCTCAAGTTTATTTAGATGCAACTGGAGTCCCATGGGGAGTACCTGATAAATTAAAAGCCCGGGACCAAATAGTCTGCAGGATTTGAATCAATATTTCCATGGGTAACTATTAATAAAAATGTAGACTGTATAAATTACATCTATTATAACCAACAGCAGTTTATTAATTATACCAGGGATGCTGTCAAAGGAATAGCTGAGGAGTTAGGGCTGACTAGCCAGATGGCTTAGGAAAACAGAATGGCCCTAGGCATGATACTAGCTGAAAAAGGTAGAGTTTGTGTTATGATTAAAACTCAGTGTCGTACCTTCATCCCAAACCATACTGCCCCAGATGGGAGCATAACAAAAGCCTTACAAGGACTTACCATTTTATCTAATGAATTAGCTAAAAATTCTGGAGTCAATAACCCTTCTTCAGGATGGCTAGACAGGTGGTTTGGTAAATAGAAAGGAATCATAGCCTCAATTCTTACTTCTCTTGCAGTCATAATAGGTGTACTCATTCTTGTTGGGTGTTGTGTCACACCATGCAACCATGGGCTAGTACAAAGGCTTATAGAAACAGCACTTACTAAAATCTCCCTTAGCTCTCCTCCACCTTATTCAGATAAGCGTTTCCTTTCAGACGATCAAGTCAAACAGCAAAGCCAAGACATCTTAAAAAGGTTTGAAGAGGAAGAACTATAAAAATTAAAAGGGGGAAATTGTAGGATACAATAAAATTCTTCAAAGGTTTAGCCTGTTAACTTCCTTGTTCTTTGTTCTCAAACTCAACTTTCTTGTTCTCTATGCCTCCTTGCCCCTAGTTACTGTAACTGTAAACAACTTTCCTGTCAGTCCTAATCAATAACTCACATCTGTTCCCTTGGTTACCCACTCTTCACCCGTTCCTCCCTTTGAAACCGCACATCCCACCATTGTAACTCACATTTCCCTTCCCTTCCTTATTTGGGAAAGTATTCACAAATAGCCAATTGGGTCAGTTTAGATTGTGCGGTCCAACCACAGCCCATGGAGGAATGACAAAGAGGCAGGGACTGCATTAGGAATAAAAACCCCTGCTTTCCTTTGTTCAGTGTGCTCTTGCAATCGTGATTGACACAAGCAGCACCCTTCTGCAGAAGTAAATTGCCTTGCTGAGAAAATTTTTGCCTGAGTGCTGGTTTCGCTTTGTGGCACTGAACATTTATCTCCAACAAGTAGAAGAAAGAACTTCAGAGCTTGAAGACAAAGCATTTGAAGTAACTCAACCAGACAAAGACAAATAAAAAAGAATTTTTTTTTTTTGAGACAGTCTCGCTCTGTTGCCCAGGCTGGATGGAGTGCAGTGGCGTGATCTCGGCTCACTGCAAGCTCTGTCTCCTGGGTTCATAGCATTCTCCTACCTCAGCCTCCTGAGTAGCTGGGACTACAGGCGACCGCCACCACACCTGGCTTATTTTTTGTATTTTTAGTAGAGATGGGGTTTCACCGTGTTAGCCAGGATGGTCTCGATCTCCTGACCTTGTGATCTGCCTGCCTCGGCCTCCCAAAGTGCTGGGATTACAGGCGTGAGCCACTGCGCCCGGCGAATATGAATTTTTAAAAATGAACAAAGCTTCCAAGAAATTTGGGATTACGTTAAACAGCCAGACCTAAGAATAATTGGTGTTCCTCAGGAAGAAGAGAAATCTAAACATTTAGAAAGCTTATTGGAGGGAATAATCAAGGAAAAGTTCCTTGCTCTCACCAGAGATCTAAACATCTAAATACAAGAAGCTGAAAGAACACCTGAAAAATTCATTGCAAAAAGATAATTACCTAGGCACACAGTCATCAGGTTATCTAAAGTCAAGATGAAGGGAAACATCTTAAGAGCCATGAGGCAAAAGCATCAGGGAACCTACAATGGAAATCCTATCAGATTAACAGCAGATTTCTCAGCAGAAACCCTATAAGCCAGAAGGGATTGGGGTCCTATCTTTAGCCTCCTCAAACAAAATAATTGCCAGCCAAGAATTTTGTATCCAGCAAAACTATGCTTCATAAATGAGGAGAGATAAAGTCTTTTTCAGACAAACAAATGCTGAGAGAATTTGCCACTAGCAAGCCAGCACTACAAGAAATGTCAAAAGGAGTTCTAAATCTTGAAACAAAAATAGAACCTCCTTTAAGTATATGTTTTAAAAGGCTTATAAAACAATAACACAATTTAAAAAAGCACAACTATCACTATGAATAAAACACTATCTCATAATTCAATACCAACATTGAATGTAAATGGCCTGAATGCTCCACTTAAAAGACACAGAATGGATAAAATTCACCAACCAACCATCTGCTGTCTTCAAGAGACTCATCTAATGCATAGGGACTCACATAAACTTAAGGTAAAGGGGTAGAAAAAGATACTGCACGCAAATGGAAACCAAAAGCAAGTACGAGTAGCTATTCTTTTTTTTTTTTCTTTGAGATGGAGTCTCGCTCTGTTGCCCAGGCTGGAGTGCAGTGGCACGATCTCGGCTCACTGCAACCTCTGCCTCCTGGGTTCAAACAATTCTCCTGCCTCAGCCTCCCAAGTAGTTGGGACTACAGGCATGCGCCACCATGCCCAGCTAAATTTTTTGTATTTTTAGTAGAGACAGGGTTTCACCATGTTAGCCAGGATGGTCTCAATCTCCTGACCTCATGATCTGCCTGCCTTGGCCTCCCAAAGTGCTAGGATAATAGATGTGAGCTGGCCAAGAGTAGCTATGTTTTTTTGTTTTTGTTTTTTTTTCTGAGACTAAGTCTTGCTCTGTCACCAGGCTGGAATGCAGTGGCGCTAACTTGGCTCACTGCAACCTCTGCCTCCTGAGTTCAAGCAATTCTCCTGCCTCAGCCTCCCGAGTAGCTGGGACTACAGGGGCATGCCACCACACCAAGCTAATTTTTGTATTTTTAGTAGAGATGGGGTTTCACAATGGTGGCAAAGATGATCTCAATCTCCTGACCTCGTGATCCACCTGTCTCAGCCTCCCAAAGTGCTGGGATTACAGGCATGAGCCATCATGCCTTGCCGAGTAGCTATTCCTATATCACACAAACAGACTTTAAAGCAACAACGGTTAAAAAAAAGACAAAAAGGGGCCAGGCGTGGTAGCTCACACCTGTAAACCCAGCACTTCGGGAGGCCAAGGCGGGTGGATCATGAGGTCAGGAGATCGAGACCATCCTGGCTAACATGGTGAAACCCCGTCTCTACTAAAAAAATACAAAAAAATGAGCTGGGCATGGTGGTGGGTGCCTGTAGTCCCAGCTACTCTGGAGGCTGAGGCAGGAGAATGGTGTGAAGCCGGGAGGTGGAGCTTGCAGTGAACCGAGATTGCGCCACTGCACTCCAGCCTGGGCAACAGAGTGAGACTCTGTCTCAAAAAAAAAAAAAAAAAAAAAAAAAGACAAAAAGGGACATTACATAACGATAAAAGATCAGTCCAGCCGGGCGCAGTGGCTCACACCTGGAATCCCAGCACTTTGGGAGGCTGAGACGGGCGGATTACGAGGTCAGGAGATCAAGACCATCCTGGCTAACATGGTGAAACCCCGTCTCTACTAAAAATACAAAAAAATTAGCCGGGTGTGGTGGTGGGCACCTGTAGTCCCAGCTACTCGGGAGGCTGAGGCAGGAGAATGGCATCAATCCAGGAGGCGGAGCTTGCAGTGAGATGAGAGCTGAGATCACGCCACTGCACTCCAGGCTGGGCAGACAGAGCGAGACTCTGTCTCAAAAAAAAAAAAAAAATCAGTCCAACAGGAAAATATCACAATCCTAAATACATATGCACCTTAATGGGCCAGGCACAGTGGCTCACACCTGTAATCCCAGCACTTTGGGAGGCTGAGGCAGGCGGATCACTTGAGTTCAGGAGTTCGAGTCCAGCCTGACCAACACGATGAAACCCCATCTCTACTAAAAATACAAAATTTAGCTGGGCATGGTGGCAAGCACCTGTACTGCCAGCTACTCGGGAGGCTCAGGCAGGGAAATCACTTGAACCCAGGAGGCAGAGGTTGCAGTGAGCCAAGATCACGCCACTGCACTCTAGCCTGGGCAACAGACCAAGACTCCATCTCAAAAACAAACAAACAACAAAAAAAAAACAGGTAAAGATGATACAGATTAACATCCTCATAAACACAGATGCAAATATTAACAAAATCTTATCACATTGAAAATAATATGTAAATATATACAACATTATCTATAGCATTTACTCCCAGGAATGCAAGGTTGGTTCAACATTCAAAAACCAATAAATGAAATTAACCATATTAACAGACAGAAAAAGAAAAATTCCATGATTATATCAATAGATGCATAAAATATATTTCACAAAATCAACATCTGAACCTCAAAGAAAAGAAAATTCCCAGCAAACGAGGAATTCATGGAAACATTTTCAATCCGATGAGGGGTATCTACGAAAAACCTACAGCTAGCAACATACTCAATGGTAAAATACTAAATGCTTTGTTCCTAAGTTCAGAAATGTCTTTATTTATTTATTTATTTATTTATTTATTTATTTTGAGACAGACTTTCACTCTTGTCACCCAGGCTGTAGTGTAAGGGCACAATCTTGGCTCACTGCAACCTCCGCCTCCCAGGTTTAAGTGATTCTCCTACCTCAGCCACCTGAATAGCTAGGATTACAGGTGCCTGCCGCCACGCCCAGCTAATTTTTGTATTTCTAGTAGAAACGGGGTTTCACCATGTTGGCCAGGCTGGTCTCAAATTCCTGATCTCAGGTGATCCACCCACCTTGGCCTCCCAAAGTATTGGCATTACAGACATGAGCCACCACAGCTGGCCAGGAATGTCTTAATTTAAGGCAAAAAAAGTCTGCCCTCATTGCTTTTTTTTTTGAGGCAGAGTCTCGTTCTGTCACCTAGGCTGGAGTGCAATGGCATGATCTCAGCTCACTGCAACCTCTGCCTCTCAGGTTCAAGCGATTCTCCTGCCTCAGCCTCCCAAGTAGCTGGAATTATAGGTGTGCACCATCACGCCAAGCTAAATTTTGTATTTTTAGTAGAGATGGGGTTTCACCATGTTGGCCAGGCTGGTCTCGAACTCCTGACCTCAGGTGATCCGCCTGCCTCGGCCTCCCAAAGTGCTGGGATTACATGCATGAGCCACCGCACCCGGTCTACCCTCATCACTTCTGTATGATATTGTGCTAGAAGCTCTAGCCAGTGAACAAGTCAAAAAAGAGAAGTAAAAGGCAATCAGATTGGAAAGAAAGAAATAAAACTGTATTTTCAAATAACATGATTGTGTGTAAAATCCTGTGGGATCATCCAAAAAGCAACTACAGCTTAACAAGGCTGAAGGATGCAAGATCACTGTATTAAAATCAATTATATTGCTATATAATAGGAATAAACAATTGGGAATTAAAACTTCTTAAAAACCAGTTATAACAGCATCCAAAATATAAAATACATAGACAAAAAATATAACAAAAGCTACATGCAAAATCATACACTAATAACTACAAAACATTGCTGAGAGAAATTAAAGACGATGTAAATCAATGAAGAGCCATACCATGGTCATGAATCAGAAGACTCAACATTTTAAAGATGTCAGTTCCTCTCAAATTAATCTATAGATTCAGTGTAATCAATAAAAATTCCAGCAATTTTCTTGTTGAAATTGATTGCTTTTTCTAAAATTCATAGAGGAATGCAACTCAGGCCGGGCAAAGTGGCTCATGCCTGTAATCCCAGCACTTTGAGAGGCCAAGTCAGGTTGGTTGCTTGAGTCCAGGAGTTCGAGACAAGCCTGGGCAACGTGGTTAAACCCTGTCTCTACAAAAAGTACAAAAATTAGCTGGGTGTGGTGGTGCATGCCTGTAATTCCAGCTACCCGGGAGCCTGAGGCAGGAGAATCTTTTGAACCTGGGAGGCAGAGGTTGCAGTGCACCGAGATCGTGCCACTGCACTTCAGCCTGGGCGACAGAGTGAGACTCCATCTCAAAAAAAAAAAATACAGTTATGAACATGTTGAAAAAATAAAAAAGAGTCTCAGCATAGAAATAGGAGATATAAGGAAGAATCAGATAGAAATTTTAGAAATAGAAAATACAACAACGAAATAAAAAGCTCAGTGAATGGGCTCAAAAGTGGAAAAGAGGACAACACAAGCAGTTAACTGGAAGACAGGACAACAGAAATTACTCAATCTGAACAACAGAGAGAAAATGGACTGGAAAAAGTAAACAAGAAAGAAAAGAGAAAATAAAAGAGGCCGGTACAGTGGCTCATGCCTGTAACCCCAGCACTTTGGGAGGCTGAGGTGGGTGGATCATGAGGTCAGGAGATCGAGACCATCCCTGGCTAACACGGTGAAACCCCGTCTCTGCTAAAAATACAAAAACGAAATTAGCCGAGCATGGTGGTGGGCACCTGTAGTCCCAGCTACTCGGGAGGCTGAGGCGGGAGAATGGTGTGAACCCGGGAGGCAGAGCCAAGATCGCGCCACTGTACTCCAGCCTGGGCGACAGAGCGAGACTCCATCTCAACCAAAAAAAAAAAAAAAAAAAAAAAAAAAAAGAAGAAAAGAAAAGAAACAAATAATAAACACAACCTCAGGGCCTGTGAGACTGTTAATAAAAGATCAGAGTGGGGCATGATAGCTCATCCCTGTAATCCCAGCATTTTGGTAGACAGAGGCAGAAGGATTGCTTGAGCCCAGGAGTTTGGGGCCAGCCTGGACAACATAGGAGGGGGCCGGGCGTGGTGGCTCTCGCCTGTAATCCCAGCACTTTGGGAGGCCAAGGCAGGCGGATCATGAGGTCAAGAGATTGAGACCATCCTGGCCAACTTGGTAAAACCCCGTCTCTACCAAAAATTCAAAAATTAGCCAGGCATGGTGGCAGGCACCTGTAATCCCAGCTACTCAGGAGGTTGAGGCACGAGAATCACTGGAATCTGGGAGGCAGACATTGCAGTGAGCCAAGATCATGCCACTGCACTCCAGCCTGGTGAAAGAGCGAGACTCCGCCTCAAAAACAAAAAAATTGAGTGTGGTGGTGCACACCTGTGGTCCCAGCTACTCTGGGGACTGAAGTGGGAGGAACGCTTCGGCCTGGAAGGTCTAGGTTGCAGTGAGCCATGATTCTGCCACTGTACTCCAGCCTGGATAACAGAGCAAGACCCTGTCTCAAAAAAATACATTAATAAATAAATAATCAAATGAACAAATATTCAAAGAAAACTTTCCTACTTGGCAAAATGCATAAAACAATAGATTCAAGAAGCTGAGAGAATTCCAATTGGGATAAACCCAAAGAAGTTCACACCAAGATACATTATAGTCAAACTTCTGAAAACAAAACAAAAAAATTTTTTGAAAGCAGCCAGAGAAAAACAATATGTTACTTATATAGAAAAAATAATTTGAATGACAGCTTATTTCTCATCAGAGACAACAGAAACCAGAAAGAAGTGACACAACACTTTTCCATTGTTAAAAAAACTATCAACTCAGAATCCCATATCCAATGAAAATATCCTTCAAGAATGCTGGGGGAAATTGTAAAATTCTCAAAGGAAGGAAAACTAAAAGAATTTGTCACCAACTAATATGTGCCCAGTTGGTTTTTTACAAAGGTGCTGATGCAATTCAATGGAGGAAAAATGGCTTTTCAACAAATGGTTCTGGAGTAATCAGATATTCATAGGCAAGAAAATGAACCTTGAAATAAATCTTACATTATATACAAAAATTACAACAAGGTGCAGTGGCTCATGCCTATAATTCCAGCATGGCAGGTAGATCACTTGAAGTCAGGAGTTCAAGACCAGCCTGGCCAACGTGGTGAAACCCTGTCTCTACTAAAAATACAAAAATTAGCTGGGCGTGATGGTGCGCATCTATAATTCCAGCTACTTTGGAGGATGAGACACCAGAATCGCTTGAACCTGGGAGGCAGAGGTTGCAGTAAGCCAAGATCATGCCACTGCACTCCAGCCTGGGTGAGGGAATAAGACTGTCTCAAAGAAAAACAAAAACCAAAAAACAAAAACCAAACCAAACCATGGACTTAAATGTACATCATCAAACATTTAGGAGAAAATCTTCTGGACCTAGAGCTACACAAGGCATTTTTAGTCTTGACACTAAAAGCACAATCCATAACAGGAAAAATAATAAAATAGATTTCATCAAAATTAAGCACTTTTACTCTGTGAAAGACCCTGTTCAGAGGATGAAAAGGCATAGAGTGGGAGAAAATATTTGCAAACTACGTATCTGATAAAGGACTAGTATCTAGAATATATAAAGAACTCCCAAAACTCAAAAATAAATAATCTAAATAAAAATGTGCAAAAGACATGAAAAAGCACTTCAGTAAAGAGAATATACACATTGGAAATAAACTTGGGAAAGGATGTTCAATATCACTAGCCATTAAGGAAATGCAAACTAAAACTACAATGGGCTATCCCTGTACACTTATTCCAAATGGCTAAATGTAAACAGTTGCTACACCAAATGTAGAAGAGGATGTGGAGAAACTAGATCACTCATGAATTGCCAATGAGAATGTAAAATGATTCAGTTATTCTGGAAAACAATTTGGTAGTTTTTTTTTTTTTTCCCTGAGACGGAGTCTTGCTCTGTCACCCAGGCTGGAGTGCAGTGGTGTGATCTCGGCTCACTGCAACCTCTGCCTCCTGGGCATGGTGGCGTACGCCTATAATCCCAGCTACTTGGAAGGCTGAGGCAGGAGAATCGCTTGAACCCGGGAGGCGGAGGTTACAGTGAGCTGAGATCGTGCCATCGCACTCCAGCCTGGGTGACAGAGTGAGACTCCATATCAAAAAAAATAAAAATAAAAAAAGAGAGAGAGGAAAAAGAGGTTTAATTGATTCAGTTCTGCAGGCTGTGCAAGCATGGCTCCAGCATCTGCTCCTGGTGAGGGCCTCAGGAAGCTTCAAATCCCAGCAGAAGGAAAAGGGAGAGCAGGGATGTCACATGGTGACAGCAGGAACAAGAGAGCAAAGCGGGAGATGCCACACACCTTTAACAACCAGATTACAGATGAACTCACTCATCACCAAGGGGATGGTGCTAAGCCGTTCATGAGGGATCTGCCTCCATGATCCATTCACCTTCCACCAGGCTTCAACTCCAACACTGGGGATGACATTTTGACGAGATTTGGAAGGGACAAATATCCAAACCGTATCACCATATTTTGTGTTTTGTTTAGGTTTGTTTTTTTGTCACCCAGGCTGGAGTACAGTGGTAGGATCATAGTTTATGGTAGCCTCGAACTCCTGGCTTCAAGCAATCCTCCTACCTCAGCCCCTCGAGTAGCTGGGACTATAGACACGTACCACCATGCTTGGCTATTTTAAACAAATTTTTGTAGAGATGCTATCGGGCAAAATTCACCCCTGATATTTCACGTAGGTTCTTTTCTATTTTCCCTAAGTGTCGGCCGGTCTGAGAAATAAAGGGACAGAGTACAAAAGAGATAAATTTTAAAGCTGGGTGTCCGGGGGAGACGTCACATGTCAGCAGGTTCCGTGATGCCCCCTGAGCCATAAAACCAGCAAGTTTTTATTATCGATTTCAAAAGGGAAGAGAGTGTACGAATAGGGTGTGGGTCACAGAGATCACATGCTTCACAAGGTAATAAGATATCACAAGGTAAATGAAGGCAGGGCGAGTTCACAGGACCACAGGACCGGGGCGAAATTAAAATTGCTAATGAAGTTTTGGGCATGCATTGTCACTGATAACATCTTATCAGGAGACAGGGTTTGAGAGCAGACAACCGGTCTGACCAAAATTTATTAGGTGGGAATTTCCTCATCCTAATAAGCCTGGGAGCGCTACAGGAGACTGGGGCTTATTTCATCCCTACAGCTGTGACTGTAAAATACAGCCACCCCCCAAGTGGCCATTTCAGAGGCCTACCCTCAGGGACGCATTCTCTTTCTCAGGGGCGTTCCTTGCTGAGAAAAAGAATTCAGCGATATTTCTCCCATTTGCTTTTGAAAGAAGAGAAATATGGCTCTGTTCCGCCCGGCTCACTGGCAGTCAAGAGTTTAAGGTTATCTCTCTTGTTCCCTGAACGTTGCTGTTATCCTGTTCTTTTTTCAAGGTGCCCAGATTTCATATTATTCAAACACACATGCTCTACAAACAATTTGTGCAGTTAATGCAATCATCACAGGGTCCTGAGGCGACATACATCCTCCTCAGCTTACGAAGATGACGGGATTAAGAGATTAAAGACAGGAATAGGAAATCACAAGGCTATTGATTGGGGAAGTGATAAGTGTCCATGAAATCTTCACAATTTATGTTCAGAGACTGCAGTAAAGACAGGTGTAAGAAATTATAAAAGTATTAATTTGGGGAACTAACAAATGTCCGTGAAATCTTCACAATTTATGTTCTTCTGCCACGGCTTCAGCCGGTCCCTCCGTTCGGGGTTCCTGACTTCCCTCAACAGATGCAGTCTCACTATGTTGCCCAAGCTGTTCTCAAACTCCTGGCCTCAAGCAATCCTGACATTATAGGAATGAGCCACCATGCCTGGGTGACAGACCACCTTCTGTTTATCCACTTATCAACAGATAGCCATTTGGGTGTTTTTAGTTTTTGGCTATGGTGAATAATGCTGCTATGAACATTTGCATACAAGTCTTTGTGTGGAAAAAAATTTCTTCAGGGTAAATACCTAGGATTGGAATTGCTGGATCATATAGTAAGTCCACGTTTAACTTTTTTTTTTTTTTTTAAATACGGTCTCATTATTTTGCCTAGTCTGGTCTCAAACTCCTAAGCTCAAGCAATGCTTCTGCCTCGGCCTCTTACAAGTGAGTACCACCACTCCTGGCCATATTTAACTGTTTAAGAAACTGCCAGACTGTTTTCCCAAATGGCTACACCATTTTACATTCCCACCAGCAAAGTATAGAAAGTTCTAATTTCTCTATATCCTTGCCAACACTATCTTTTGTCTTTTTTTTTTTTTTTTTGAGATGGAGTCTTGCTCTGTCACCCAAGCTGGAGTGAAATGGCATGATCTGGGCTCACTGCAACCTCCACCTCCCGGGTCAAGCAATTCTCCTGCCTCAGCCTCCCTAGTAGCTGGGATTACAGGCATGCACTACCATGCCCAGCTAATTTTCCTATTTTTAGTAGAGAGGAGGTTTTACCACGTTGGCCAGGCTGGTCTCAAACTCCTGAACCCAAGTGATCTACTGGCCTTGGCCTCTCAAAATGCTGGGATTACAGGTGTGAGCCACCGTGACTGGCTGTGTCTGCCTTTTTCACTCTAGCCATTCTACTGGGTGAGAAATGGTATCTCACGAGGGTTTTGATTTTTATTTCCCTAATGGCTCATGATGTTGAATGTCTTTTCATGTACTTATTGGTCACCCGTATATCCTCTTTGGAGAAATGGTTATTCAAATACTTTACCCATTAAAATAAAAATTTCATCTTTAAGAGCAGTTTCGAGTTCACAGCAAAACTGAACAGAAAATACAGGGTTCCCCCACCCCACACACACTCATAGCCTCCCCCCACCAACAACATCAGGCACCAGAGGATATATTTGTTATAAGCAATGAAGCTACATTGACACACCAGTATCACCCATATCCCATAGTTTACATTAGGTTTCATTCTTGGTGTTGTACATCCTGTAGGGTTTGACAAATGTGTAATAACATGTATCCACCATTATAACATCCAGAGTAATTTCACTACCCTAAATATTCTCTGTGCACCACCTCTGTGCATTTCTCCCCACTCCCAGCCCCTGCCATCTTTTTTATTGTCTCCATAGTTTTGCCTTTTCCAGGATGTAATATAGTTGGAATCATACAGTATGTAGCTCTTTCAGATTGTCTTCTTTCACTTACTAATATGCATTTAAGGTTTCTCCATGCCTTTTCATGGCTTAATAGCTCATTTCTTTCTAGTGCTGAATATAGTCCATTGTCTGGATATACCAAGGTTTATTTATCCATTTACCTGCTAAAGGACATCTTGGTTGCTTTCAAGTTTTGGCAATTACAAATAAAGCTGCTGCTGGCCGGGAGCGGTGGCTCACGCCTGTAGTCCCAGAACTTTGGGAGGCCAAGGCGGGCAGATCACGAGGTCAGGAGATCGAGACCATCCTGGCTAACATGGTGAAACCCCGTCTCTACTTAAAATACAAAAAATTAGCTGGGCTTCGTGGCAGGCGCCTGTAGTCCCAGCTACTTGGAGGCTGAGGCAGGAGAATGGCGTGAACCCAGGAGGCAGAGCTTCCAGTGAGCCGAGATCGCGCCACTGCACTCCACCCTGGGTGACAGAGCGAGACTCCATCTCAAAAACAAAAACAAAAACAAAAGCTGCTGTAAACATCCATGTGCAGGTTTCTGTGTGGACATAAGTTTTCAGCTCATTTGGGTAAACACTAAGGAATGCAATGGCTGGATCTTCTGATGGGAGTATGTTTAGTTTTGTCAGAAAGCCAAACTGTCTTCCAAAGCTGCTGTACCATTTTGCGTTCCTACCAGTAAGGAGAGTTCCTGTTGCTTCACATCCTCACCAGCATTTGGTGTTGTCTCCCTTGCCCATTTCTAAACTTGGCTATTTGTCTTTTCATTACTGAGTTGTAAGAATTTTATGTATCCTAGATACAAGTCCCTTATGGAACATGTGATTTGCAAAAATTTTCTCCCAGTTTGTGGGTTGTTTAGAGGTCTTTTTTTTCTTTTCCTTTTGAGACAGGGTCTCACTCTGTCGCCCAGACTGGAGTCCAGCGGCGCAATCTTGGCTCACCGCAACCTCCACCTCGCGGGCTCAAGCGATCCTCCTGCCTCAGCCTCCCGAGTAGCTGAGATTACAGGTGCCCACCACCATGCCGGCTAATTTTTGTATTTTTAGTAGAGACGGGGGTTTCACCATGTTGGCCAGGCTGGTCTCGAACTCCTGACATCAGGTGATACACCTGCCTTGGCCTCCCAAAGTGTTGGGATTACAGGAGTGAGCCACTGCGCCCCATTTTTTTTTTGAATGTTGAACACAATGAATTTATCATGATAGTGGGTACTTCTGAAGGAGGCAGGGGTATACACAAGGTTAGAATCATACAGGTAGATATCATGGTATAGGTGCTGCGAGAGTCAGAAAACTGACTCTGGCACCAGCTGCCTGGGCTTCAACCCCAATGCTGTAAAGTAACTTAGTCTCTTTGTGCCTCAGTTTTCTCATCTATAAAATGAGTATATCAGCCGGGGGCAGTGGCTCACACCTGTAATCCCAGCACTTTGGGAGGCTGAGGTGGGTGGATCACCTGAAGTCAGGAGTTTGAGACCAGCCTGGCCAACATAGCAAAACCCCGTCTCTACTAAAATACAAGCATTAGCCATGCATGGTGGTGCGCACCTGTAATCCCAGCGATTCGGAAAGCTGAGGCAGGAGAATGGCTTGAACATGAGAGGCGGAGGTTGCAGTGAGCCGAGATTGCACCATTGCAGTCCAGCCTAGGTGAGTCTCACTCTGTCTCAAAAAAAAAAAAAAAAAAGGGTATATCAACACAATCTCACTGGTGTGTTGTGAAGCCTAGCCAAGTTAATGTACCTAGAGAACTAGAGAACAGTGGCTACTAAGGACATCTAAGGACACTTTATACAAACCTTAACTGTGTTACAACTTCTTAAGTCAGTACTGAGGTTCAAAAGCTTCCATTTTATTATTATGCTTTATAATTTATATATGTTACGTGCTTTCTTTTGTATAGCTCACTTGAATATATATATACATTTTAGAAGATAATAAGGAAGAAAAAAAGTATATCTGGTTTTTTAACCCTTCGAAATGGGAAAGTTTGGAGTAGATGCTCAGCCCCGGCCCCTGGCCCTTCCCCAATACTCACAGGCTCCTGTCAACTACACCTTCAGAAAAAGACGGAGCCTCTTAGGCAGCAGTCAGGCAGGTGGGGGCGATCTGTCAGGTGACCTAGACTCTGGGCCATCTCAGTTTCCTCACCTGTAAAATGGGGATGCTGAGGTACCTACCTGACCTATGAGAGCGGAGAACACTGAGATATCTTGCCCATGGCCTGCCCTGTGGTTAGCTGTCGTTTTTTCCTTGACACTTGTAGGCTCCTCTTCATGTTTACATAACCTCAGTGGGAAAACGCCAGCGAAGAGAGACACTCAGAATGGACGATCTAAAGTTCCTTCCAGCTTCCAAATTCTGGGCTGGTTTTCAGAGATCCAGGGCTCGGGATGCGAATGTCCCTGTCTACGATGGGGCTGCCGTTACAGCCTTCCTCCCGGGGCTCTGGAGACGCGCCAGCTCTTTGACACCTCTCCTGCGCTAAGGAAGAGTTGGTTTACAGAAAAGTAAGTATATCCTGGCCCTGCAGAAAGCCGCCAGGCGGCAGGACAAGCCCCACCGCAGCCCAGGCGCCATTATCTGCCTCAGCAGTTACCTCGGGGTCCCGCCACGAGGAGGTTCTTCAAGGCCTGCGCGCCCACGGACACTACCAAGGAGCGCGGCGGGCAGCCGGATAGCAGGACGCTGAGGGAAACCCCGCAGTCGCTCGGCGTCCCCGGCGCCAGCTCACGACCCAGCGACCTCCTGCGGCCCGAGCGTCCCCTGGCGGCAACGCCGGCTCGTTAGAGCGAGCGACAGATGGTGTAGTCCAAAGGCCAAGCGGCGTTTCTGTAGATGAGCATGCGCAGCACCCACCGTTCGCTCAGCCAGAGAGAGGCTTCCCAGCCAATCCGAGAGCCTCAGAGTCATCCTCCCGCCCACCCAGCATACAGGCGGGGCGTTCCTCCTTAGCCAATGGGAAAAGACATTCGCCCGCGGTCCGCACGCGCTGCTTGCAAAGGGGTGGGGTTGTGGAGTGGATGCTTTGGCAAGATGGCGGGGAGCGGCGTCCGCCAAGCTACTTCTACCGCCAGCACCTTCGTGAAGCCCATTTTCAGTCGGGACATGAACGAGGCCAAGCGGAGGGTGCGCGAGCTCTACCGCGCCTGGTATCGGGAGGTGCCGAACACTGGTGAGAGGTAGCGGCTTACGTGGGGACCCGGAGGCCGCCGCTCAAGGTCGTAGCCGGCCCGGCCGGGGTTTCTCATGGGCCCAGCTGAGGTCACCAACTTGGGCAGAGGCGACTGCGGGTGCTTCAGGGGAAGAGGGTCACCCGAGCCTACCATGGGCCGGACCTGGCGGCGGCGCGGTGGTCAGACCGGCCGTGCCTAGCATTCGTACGTGCTATCGGAGCTTTGGTCTCTTTTGTCCTTCGCAATTGGCGGGAGGACGATGACTGTCAGTGACACACTCACTTTGTGGGTGAGGCAGCGGAGGCACCGAGAGGTGAAGTGATGTGCCCAGGGCCCAGGCCGAGCCACTGTTGTACCCAGAACCCAAAGTCTAGAGTTGCAGAGTGTAATTATAGATGCCCGTTGGATTTTTTTGTTTGTGACAGAGTCTCGCTGTGTCGCTCAGGCTGGAGTGCAGTGGTGCGATCTCGGCTCACTGCAAGCTCCGCCTCCCGGATTCACGTCATTCTCCTGCCTCAGCCTCAGCCTCCCGAATAGCTGGGATTACAGGCGCCCGCCACCACGCCGGCCATTTTTTTTTGTATTTTTAGTAGAGACGGGATTTCACCGTGTTAGCCAGAATGGTCTCGATCTCCTGACCTCGTGATCCGCCCGTCTCGGCCTCCCAAAGTGCGAGAAAGAGGTGTTTTTGAGTGAGCTGGAGCACGGTGCCACTCCTCAGGGCTGTCGAGTCCCTGCTTGTGTGTGTGAAAAGGCGGTAGAATGTGGTGGTTAGGAGCACGGACTTTTCTTCAGGCGCTGCCCTCAACTAGCTGTGTGACCTTGGGCCAGTTATTTCATCTATTCCTCAGTTTCTTCATCTTTAAAATGGGAATAATAATTCCTTCTTCAGAAGGTTACTGTATTAAGTTAAAATATCTAGAGTGCTTAGAACAGGACTTGATGCATATTTAACTCATTAAATATTAGCTGCTGCCGTTGTTTTTGTTGTTATTTTTGTTATTTATAGGGCTTTCCTTAGCAGCAGCTTCCAAGCAGAACCCGGTTCTTTGACATATGAGAACTGTGTCTGCTCCACAGAGTCCCTGTCTTCAAGCTGACTTTTGGAAAAATTGCTACTGACCAGAACTTAAACCCACGCGATACTAGAGAAGGAGAAACTTGAGTGATCTGCTGGTTCAGGGACTGCAAATTCAGATGCCTTCAGGGGCAGGCAGATAAAAGATGTGTGTGGGGAGTGACTGTAGCAGTGTGTGTGTGTGTGTGTGTGTGTGTGTTTCGGGGTGGTGCATTCAAATTCAGCAGTTTGAAAACATAATGTTTGCCTGGCAGAATACTTCTAGGAGTACCCAGAACCCTCTCTGGTTGCAGGAGGAAGGTGCTGGGGGAAGGAGGACCACATTCAAAAAGGGTGGCTTGTGAAGGGTAAATCAGTGGCCAAGTAGAAGACAGAACCCAGGTATCCTGACTCTGAGGATCCAGCTCTTTCTAAACCGACCCCTCCCAAGACCTTCCCTCAAATTCTGTTTTGGGAAGAAAGTCCCAAAGTCAGAAGGGTCTTGAGAGGAGGAAAAGAAGGCAGAGGGCTACAGGAGCCTAGAAAGCAAGGGAAGAGGAGAGAAAAGAAGGGGTCAAGGAGTATGCATCCCTATGGGGAAGATCAGTGATCTGTAGCTGGCCAGTTACTCAAACCTGTGCCACACGGGTTTTATGGTATCCATCATCAGGACTCCAGCTGAGGAATCAAATCAAGGAAGGGGAATAAGTAATAGTGTTGAGAACTTAGAACAGCCTGAGCATTAATAAAAAACAAAAGTAAAATTTTAAGTATTTAATGAAAAAAACAGTAATGATAACTCACTTTTTTTTTTTTTTTTTTTTTTGAGACAGAGTCTCGCTCTTGTCTCCCAGGCTGGAGGGCAATGGCGCGATCTTGGCTCACTGCAACCTCCACCTCCCGGGTTCAAGTGATTTCCCCATGCCTCAGCCTCCCGAGTAGCTGGGATTATAGTTGCGTGCCACCACACCTGGCTAACTTTTGTATTTTTAGTAGAAACGGGGTTTCACCATGTTGGCCAGGCTGTCTTGAACTCCTGACCTCAGGTGATCCACCTGCCTTGGCCTCCCAAAGTGCTGGGATTACAGGCGTGAGCCACCGCGCCCAGCTAATAAAATAATAATTATTTTTTTTGAGACGGAGTCTCGCTCTGTCGCCCAGGCCGGACTGCGGACTGCAGTGGCGCAATCTCGGCTCACTGCAAGCTCCGCTTCCCGGGTTCACGCCATTCTCCTGCCTCAGCCTCCTGAGTAGCTGGGACTACAGGCGCCCGCCACCGCGCCCGGCTAATTTTTTGTATTTTTAGTAGAGACGGGGTTTCACCTTGTTAGCCAGGATGGTCTCGATCTCCTGACCTCATGATCCACCCGCCTCGGCCTCCCAAAGTGCTGGGATTACAGGCGTGAGCCACCGCGCCCAGCCTTTTTTTTTTTTTTTTTTTGAGACACAGTCTCACTCTGTCACCCAGGCTGGAATGCAGTGGCCCATCTCAGCTCACTGCACCCTCCACCTCCCGGGTTCAAGTGATTCTCCTGCCTCAGTCTCCCGAGTAGCTGGGATTACAGGCACCCACCACCATGCCCGGCTCATGTTTGTATTTTTAGTGGAGACGGGGTTTCACCATGTTGGCCAGGCTGGTCTTGAACTCCTGACCTCAGGTGATCCACCTGCCTTGGCCTCCCAAAGTGCTGGGATTACAGGCGTGAGCCACCGCGCCCAGCTAATAAAATAATTATTATTTTTTTTGAGACGGAGTCTCGCTCTGTCACCCAGGCTGGAGTGCAGTGGTGCGACCTCGGCTCACTGCAAGGTCCACCTCCCGGGTTCACACCATTCTCCTGCCTCAGCCTCCCGAGTAGCTGGAATTACAGGCACCCACCACCACACCCGGCTAATTTTTTGTATTTTTAGTAGAGACGGGGTTTCACTGTGTTAGCCAGGGTAGTCTCGATCTCCTGACCTCATGATCCGCCCACCTCGGCCTCCCAAAGTGCTGGGATTACAGGCGTGAGCCACCGCGCCCAGCCCATAAAATAATTTTTTAAAAAATACACTCAGGCACAAGAAAGTTAACTTACACGGGATCATATAGCTAACAAAAGCTGGGATTTGAACCCAGGTTGTTCAAACTCTTGAACAATGCTTTACTGCCTCTTCAAATTCAGTGGTCTTTTTCCCCAAACAAATAATAAGTTCCTTGAGAGCAAATACCATGAATCACATGTCTCATCCTCAAGCACCTAGCCTAGGGTCAGGCTAATTTTTTGGTGAAGAAATGAATGGGCGACCTGTATGTGTTCAATGAGTATCATTTGACTCTAGGTTTTATTTAACCATACAATTTCTACCCTGAGTCATGTTTTTCTCTCTAGTGCACCAATTCCAGCTGGACATCACTGTGAAAATGGGACGGGATAAAGTCCGAGAAATGTTTATGAAGAATGCCCATGTCACAGACCCCAGGGTGGTTGATCTTCTGGTCATTAAGGTAACTGACCCTCCCTGACCAATTTAAAAGATCAGCCAACTTGTCCACTACTTCTTAGTCTTTCCAAATGAACATTTTGTCTCCAAGTTTAGAAAGCAGCTACTGGTTCGGCAGTGATTATTGCTGTGTTTCAGAGAAATACTTGAACTTGGAGGTTATCATCTGGTTAAATAGATAAGATTCATCAAGGGAACATCCACTGGGACTTGCATTTTATAACCATAAAAAAAGATATAGGGAGGAAAGTTTGAACTCTTCTTGAACCTCATCCCTAGAAGTTACCACTTCATCTGAATGCCAGTTTACAGCTGGAAGAGGCAGTTAGGGTGGTTATGAGTCCTGTATAAATGGACTCAAATCCTGGGGCTGATTCTGTCCCCCTGGCCAGTCACGTTAGCATCAATGGGAGCTTCAGCATAGACCAGTCAGTAACAGAAGAAATGATAAGCAGAAACATAAGTTAAGCCAGTCAGGTTAGGTAGTCATGGGATAGGAGCCTGTTAACCTGTATGTTTCTCCTCTTGGTACCAGTTAACCACAGAGTTAAAGAATCTGAAAAGTGTCAGAAATGATTTACCCTGACCACCTCATTGTCCAGACATAGAAACTTTGCCCAGACAGAGTAGTTACTTGCCCAAGGTCATTCAACAAGTCCATGCTGAGCAGAGAATAGAATCCTGGCCTTCAGTGTCATATGCCTTCAACTTGACAACTTTGACTGATGACCTCTCTCCTCACTGTTCAGGGAAAGATCGAACTGGAAGAAACAATTAAAGTATGGAAGCAGCGGACACATGTTATGCGGTTCTTCCATGAAACAGAAGCGCCAAGGCCAAAGGATTTCCTATCCAAGTTCTATGTTGGCCACGATCCATGAAGTCATTCAGTGGAAAGATGCACGTTGATACTATTTTAGAGCACAAATAAACTCACTATACAATGGTCACTTTGTGATAGAATTCCATTGATGAACCAATTTTCTGCAGCCTCTTTTTGCCTGAGCAAGTGGGACCTTGGTATACACATCACCTGTTCTTTCCCTTTTCTTGAAATGTGGTGTTTGCTGTAAATTGGATTGAATTATTTTTCTCAGAGCCTTGCATGTCAGTAAACAGGAAGGAAGGAGGCCATCTGTTCAAAAATTGTGACATTGGGCATGAGGCTGGACGACTTGTTAATGTAGTTGTTTCTATAGCCCCTATGATTAGACACTTCAGTGTCAGGGCACAGATTATCTAAAATTAGCCAGCTCTTCCTGTCAGGGATCAGGGCAGCACTAACAGGCGCAAAAGTAGAGCTGTCAAGATGGGCTAGTTTTCCTTGGGTTCTGAAGAAAATGGATGTGCAAAGGCTTGGCTCCGCTACTTGTAACAAGCTCCAGCCCTTAAAATGAAATTAACTTCCTACTCAGGCACCCTGCTTAGGTGCACAGCTGTTCAATATACACAGAGAACAGAAATATTCCTACTGTCTTTGGAAACCCTGGTGTACCTCTCAGTGGCAGAATAAACATCAACACAGGTTCAAGAACTGATCTCTGTTTGGATGGTGGTCTTCTCTTGTGCTTCCCAGGGCAATCCAAATGATGGAGAAGGGGTTTGGAATCTATAGGTATGATCACTGAGGACTCCCATACTTTTTTTTTTTTTTTAAATAGAGATGGCGTCTCTCCATTGCCCAGGCTGGTCTTTTTTTCTTTTCTTTTTTTTGAGATGGAGTCTCGCTGTTGTTGCCCAGGCTGGAGTGCACTGGTGTGATCTTGGCTCACTGCACCTTCCACCTCCTGGTTCAAGTAATTCTCCCTGCCTCAGCCTCCCAAGTAGCTGGGATTACAGGCATGGACCACCACATCCAGCTAGTTTTATATTTTTAGAAAAGACGGAGTTTCACCATGTTGGCCAGGCTGGTCTCAAACTCTTGACCTCAAGTAATCCACCCGCCGTGGCCTCCCAAAGTGCTGGCGTGAGCCACCGCGCCCAGGCCAGTCTTGAACTCCTGGGCTCAAGTGATCCTCCTGCCTCCGCCTCCCAAAGTGTTGGGACTACAGGCATCAGCCATTGTGCATGGCCCCAAACCTTATGGCACCAAGGATCCCTTTATAATCTTTTCACGTAAGGAACCTGAGGGAAAAACTCAAGGTGTTTTTGTGTTCTCTCACTCAATAACAATAAACACATAAGACTTCTGTGATCAAACGTTATGAGGGTTTCTCCCCACACTAAGCAAGCAGTCAGTTCTGCAGCAGACACCAGCTGCCTGTCCTCCAATTCTCTTCGAACACTATCTACCTGGAGATAGCAACAGATTCCACAGGTTTGGGGCTCAGTCCCACAAGACTGCTCCCACCCCCATTAGACAACATTCACAAGTCCAAGCCTCCAGAACTTCTGAGCTTCAAGTTCCCATGACCCCTTCTTTTTTTTTTTTTTTTTTTGAGATGGAGTCTCACTCTGTCGCCCAGGCTGGAGTGCAGTGGTGCCATCTCGGCTCACTGCAAGCTCTGCCTCGCGGGTTCACGCCATTCTTCTCCTGCCTCAGCCTCCCGAGTAGCTGGGACTACAGGTGCCCGCCACCACACCCGGCTAATTTCTTCTATTTTTTAATAGAGACAGAGTTTCACTGTGTTAGCCAGGATGGTCTCGCTCTCCTGACCTTGTGATCTGCCCGCCTTGGCCTCCCAAAGTGCTGGGGTTACAGGTGTGAGCCACCGCACCTGGCTGACCCCTTCTTTTTAATTTGCTGGAGCAGCTTGCAGAACTCAGAGGAACACTTAGGTCCGTTTACTGGTTTATTATAAAGGATATCACAAAAGATACAGCTGAAGAGATGCATAGGGTGAGGTATAGAAGGGGCGTGGAGCTTCCAAGTTCTCTCCAGGCGTGCCACTTTGCAAAGCCAAGTGTTCTGTTCTCCGAAAGCTCTCTAAACCTGTCTTCTTGGGCCTTTTATGGAGACCTCATTGGATAGGGATGATTGAAGCATGGACAACACTGGAGAAATGGGATTGGACAAAAGAGGCATAATCTAATACAGATGGAGTGGGGAAGTCCAACAAGGCCTGTCTACATTTCTTCCTCTCAGGTATGGGGCAGAATCCCTTCTGAAATGGGGGTCTCATGACCTAAAATCAGACAAGGTAGGTCAGAGGATTCTTTTTATGGCCAACTGGAAGACGGGCAAAGGAAGATTATACTTTTAGTTTCTATGGCCTGCCTTGGGGAGAAAAAGCAGCAGGTGAAAGGAGGTCAGGAGAAGATCTGAGAAACAGCCTGCTGTTTTCTGAGGCCCGAAGTGCCCAACATTATAACAAAAGCCTAAAACAAGGGTTTTGGGAGTTATAAGCCAGGAAATAGATGAAAACCTATCTATATCCTCATATCACAGAACCCGAGTTTTGAATCATTCTAGTTATATTTAAGTAGTATGCTAACAAGCAGAGCTGTCATGACTGGCACTGAACACAGAATGGCATGAGGCTTTAGTTAGCCCATGAAGCTTTCTTAAGGGAAAATGCACAGTTTCTGTTGGGCTTTTGTAAACAATGAAAATAGTTCCCAGGGCCCCCAGAATAGTTCACCAGGCTCCACTGCAGCCTGGATAGCCTGGGCCTATGTTTCTCCCATAAATAAAGGACAGCAGAGACAACTGCACCAACTAGAACCTAGGGATACTGAGAAACTGCAGCCATCACTCAGTCACGCACGGCTGATATTTATTATGTTTATTCATAATTTGATTGCTTGTTTGTGCAGTGCTTAGTGGACAGCACATCTCAGGGAGCCTCCCAGAGCCTGGGGTGGAATACGGTCATGGACCATACAGGAAGCTTCACCAGACTGGGAGGCTGAGGGCCTTCCCCGAGCCTTTCTGCTGATAGGGAAGGCAGAGAAACTGAGAGCATCACCATTTCTTCAGTTAGTGCTTTCTCCTTTCTGTAATTCCTGTAAGAAAGGAAAGCAGCAGTGAACTGGGCAACAGCGTAGTCTTCCATCCGCAGACTGAAAGAATTCCACAAAGTGCTTCTATCAAACATGGCAGGAGAAAGGCAGCTTTGAGCACGTTTGGTTGTTCATGCGCACGTTAACTGGGCATTCACCACAGGCCAGGCACTGGGGGCCGCAATGTATAAAAAACGTCCCCTGCCAGCAAGAAGCTCAGAGTCTAGTAAAATTTTGCTTTGTGTGTGTTTAGCCACATAATACCGAGTATTTGAAGAGAGGTACTGGTTGCTTAGAGGAAGGAGCCGTCAACTTTCAAATGAAAGGAGGAACGAAGACTTCAAAGACACTGTAGAATGGGTGGAATTAAGACCCAGAGCTCTGGGAAGGAGCCTTCCATGTGGGAGGAACAATGAGCCAATGTTTGGGGGTGGGTATGAGTGTGAAAACTCAAGAAATGGTGAATACTGGGAATCGGTGTGTGGCTGGAAATATGGAAGATGAGACTGGAATAAGAGGTGTGACCAGATTATGGCAAGCCTTGAATGCCAGGCTAAGGAACAGGAGTGTCCTCATCTCTTGACAGAATGCCATGCAGCACATATTAGAGCACATGAAGTTGGCTGGGCGCAGTGGCTCACGCCTGTAATCACAGCACTTTGGGAGGCCAAGGTGGGTGGATCACCTGAGGTCGGGAGTTTGAGACTAGCCTGGCTAACATGGAGAAACCCCGTCTCTACTAAAAATACAAAATTAGCCAGGCACAGTGGCGCATGTCTGTAATCCCAGCTACCCGGTAGGCTGAGGCAGGAGAATCGCTTGAACCTGGAAGGCAGAGGTTGCAGTGAGTCGAGATCATGCCATTGCACTCCAGCCTGGGCAACAAGAGCGAAACTCCGTCTCAAAAAACAAACAAACGAAAACATTAGCCACCAAGTGGGCCAATTCATTAATGCTTCTGCCCCCAGTGTCCAAATGCTGCTACCAGGCCAGACTGCATCACAGACAGATGCTCCACCCTGCTTCCTGCTCCATCTAGGGTAAAGCAAGTCTTACCTGTTAGTCATCATCATCATCATCCTCTGGAACAAAAATGTCATGTTCCTCAAGTAGAGCAGCAAAGTTCTTGCTAATGAGTGTCCCGACATAGAGAAAGGGGATCACAATGGAGAACACACGGAGAAGGCCGAAGGACATCTGCAGAGGGTCAGAGTGGCAGCTGTGAGCTCCAGAGCCCACTCTGGCAGGACCAAAGAAGACCTGGCCCTCTCACAGACATACCCTCAGACCCATCATAAGCAACTTGATTTTAAAGTCCTTGGAAAAATTCAGGGCAAGAAAAGTAATTAGAAAAGGAGAAGGCCAGGCAGGGTGGCTCACACCTTTAATCCCAGCACTTTGGGAGGCTGAGGTGGGTGGACCACCTGAGGTCAGGAGCTTGAGACCAGCCTGGCCAACATGGTGAAATCCCGTCTCTACTAAAAATACAAAAAATTGACCCAGCATGGTGGTGCGCACCTGTAATCCCAGCTACTCGGGAGGCTGAGGCAGGATAATTGCTTGAATCCAGGAGGCAGAAGTTGCAGTGAGCCAAGATTGCACCATTCCACTCCAGCCTGGGAGACAGAGTGAGGCTCTGTCTAAAAAAAAGACAAAAGGCCGGGCGCAGTGGCTCACACCTGTAATCCCAGCACTTTGGGAGGCTGAGGCGGGCGGATCACGAGGTCAGAAGTTCGAAATCAGCCTGGCTAACATAGTGAAACCCCGTCTCTACTAAAAATACAAAAAATTAGCCGGGTGTGGTGGTACATGCCTGTAGTCCCAGCTACTCAGAAGGCTGAGGCAGAAGAATCACTTGAACCCGGGAGGCGGAGGCTGCAGTGAGCCAAGATTGTGCCACTGTACTCCAGCCTGGGTGACAGAGTGAGACTCCGTCTCAAAAAAAAAAAAAAGGAGATAAGGTGACTGTTATGGCCATCAAAATGGACGAAAAGTCCACTGGAAAGAAAAGTCTAAGGCACCCTAGACATCTAAAGTTAGGACACAGCCTGCTAATTACTTTAAATCCCTACAGGCAATCGGGTGCACCAGTACTAGGAGGGCCAGACTACGGTGAGCTCTGCCTGAACACGAAATACACGAAAACCGATGACAGAAAGATGTACAGTGAAGGGATATTCTACACAGTTCACTAAGTAACAGGTTCCCTGATGCCTGAGAAATTTGATTTAAAAATTTTAGAAACAGATGTATTTGAAAGTGGGCATGTATTTACACTCAAAGACTTTAGATGGATTGGGAGAATGTCAGTAAAATCTCAGCAACATTTCTCTCGTATTCCTAGAATTAAAAAAATTTTTTTTTCAACTGTTTTGATAAGGCAGGTCTTTCCCAACATGGACCTACAGTCAATTGTGTGAGTTAGCATAGGCTAGACTAGCTTTAAGAGAATTTGTTTTTTTAACTCCCACACCACACAGCCCTGCAGTCGTAAAGCAAACTTTCGCTTGATATAAGGGACTGTTTCCGTTTTCCCTAGAAAAACTCAAGCATGTGATAGCGTTCAGTGTTGGAAAAAGACAGGACCTGGTGGGGACGGTACCAGGAAGAAACCCGGATGCTGCGTCCTCAGCGCTGGCCTTGGATACGAGCTTCACCGCTCTAGCCCGATTCTTCATTTGAAAACCCGTGATTGTAATAATTCCCTGCACATCTATCAGGACTGTAAATCACATGAATTAAATATTAGGTGACAACTAATAAAAAGATGAGGCCCGTCCCACGTACCCTTTATTTACAGAGTCCTTTCAAAATTCATATTTCATCCCATAAACTAGGAGACAGGCAGGGCAGAGATTACAGGACTGCTCTAAGCTAGAAGCACACGGCCTAGTCTTCTGACTCCAGAGGAGCAGAGCACCGCACCTCTCAGGACAAGCTAATGTAAAAGGCCAACTTCCTCAGCGTTTGCCCCCCATCTTCTGTCTACCTACCATTTTCTACACACCTGTCAAAATTAGCAACTCATTAGCGTATTCTTGGTCCGCCTTCCAGTCTACGGTAATCGTTATGATTGGCCTTGGCTCCTATCAATCAGCGCCGCCCTCACGCACTCCCCACAATGATTGGCCTCAGCCCCTTCGCCCCGTCTCCAGGAGGACACTCACTTTCACCGGTTTGGGCAAAATGGCGCCGCTGCGGGTAACGATGACTGACCTCGACGGTACCAGGCTCCGGCCTGAGCCGCTCCATGCGGCGGAGACATCGCCATCTTTCCTCAAGCTAGGCCCGCTCCGGAGAGCCCCGGACCTGACGGGTGCCAATACTAGCCAGCGAGCCGCTCCGGACGCCATGCCCCCAGCTCCGCCCCTCACCCGGGCACCCGCACCCCACCGCCCAGCCCTCGTGCCGCCCTCGGGAAGAAAGCCGCCCGAAGCCTCGCGAGAGTTTGAGGAGTACACGAGAAGCCCAGCCCTCCCACTCGCGCAGTGCCGGCGGCTCCTGGGGCGGCGGGAGGGAGGTGTTTGTCACTGGCCGGCATGGTGGCGTCACGAGAGTGGCGGCGCAGCCCCGGCTCCCTCAGTCCGCGTCCTGCTGGGCGTGGCCGCGGTCTTGGGTCCGCCCGGCCGTCAGAACAGGCCTCAGCGGCCGGTTGTGGAAATAAACCCAGGGAGCGGAAGGAGTAATAACGAAAAAGCTTTACTAGTGTTTTAACCGTGTACAAAACACTGTAGCAATAAGAGAAAGGCCCGTGCTATCTGTGTTTAAACAAAATGCAGTGGCTGCGGGGCTTCCAGGCAGGGCTGGGGAACAGGCCGGGCGCCCGCCTTGGGCGCATCTCCGCCTCTTAGGGGTAAGAGGCTCAGAGCCTACCCCTTAGGCCTAGTTGGATGCGGGTCGGTCCTGCCCAAGGCCCCAGTGAGGGGAGCCGAGGCTAGGAAGGGGCAAGTTTTATGTGTTTGGGAGGGGGTGTCTCTTCCCGGCCTCTGCGTCTTCCCCCTGGAGCGTCAGTATGGTCAGGCTCTGGTGACCCAGCCGCTTTGCCTCCCGACTTTGGGAAGAGTAGCAAGGAGAGGTCCTGGCAAGTACACCCTGGGTGACAAACGGCTATGAGAGTTCCCAGGTGATTTCTCGAGCAGCTTCAGTTTACCGGAGCCCAGCCAGGAGAGAGAATTTTAGCACAGGAAACGCAATCCCGTGTCCAAGCTCCTAGAATACCCAGGACTGAGAACCAAAGCAACAGACTTTTCCCAGGGAGCCACACTGCCTCCCCACCTCTTCTTTAACCCCTCACTTGGCAGCTCCAGGAGTTGGCTGCTGAAGACAGAGTACAGGAGGGCATTTCGTTGACGTAAAAAAGCTACAAGCCCCTTCCGGGGCAAGGTCCAGCACCATCTGTTAACAGGGCAGCCAGGGAGAAAGGATGGGACCCCAGCACTCTGAGCAGAATAAATCTCTCTTCACTGGCCGAAGACCCTCTGCCTCAAAGGGCCCTACCCAGACTGCTGAGTGAGGATCCCATCCCCAATCTTCCCACCCCTCTCAGGAAGAGCTGGGTCCCAGAAACTCCTATGACACAATAAATCCACTTTCTCTGACAGTGTCAGAGCTTCAAGCCGATACTGCAGCCTACCTCGGATTTAAGTGCACAGGAGACTCCCCAGGTTGGAAATTATGGCTCTAGAGCCCGGTGTGTAGGCCAAAGGTATGGCAAGCCTGTGACAGTCTCGGGTGACATTCCCCACTTCCTTCATTTCATTAACATCCCCTGGGAGGGGGCAGTCAGGCCAGTGCAGTCAGGAGATTGGGGTCTTGCTCTGTGGCTGCTAAGTCTCCTTCCTTCTCTGGACCTCAGGAAATAAAGAGGATGGAAGGAATGGTCCCGCAGTCCCTTCCAGACACACGGGTGGATCTCGAACCTGGAGAATGCCTAAATAGCAGGAAGGAGAGAACCCATGTCCCCTCCCAAAACGCAACCTTGGAAATGGGTAAACATTTAACTCCTGAAAAAGAACTGGCCCTGGTTTCCTGACTCAAAGGGCCCAGACTTAGGGCCTATCCTGTTCCTCACATTTTGAGTGGCTCCCCTGGGCCCTCTTCTGCCAACACTGCCGCAGCTCCACGATCTCCTGGCCATACCAGTCATGCAGGGTAGAGAAGCAGGAGGTCTCAGGGGACACAGGGCTCTGCCCCTTGCCTAGGAGGAGGCTGGCAGGGCCCTGCAGCTCCCACTCAGCCAACCCCCACCCTGCAGACCTGCTGCCCGCTTCTTCAACCAAGCCCACAGGGCTGCTGTCCTTGGAGAGGCAGTGGCCATTCTCCAGGCCCGCAGCTCGGTGGTTAGGAGCCTGGGGCTTACAGCGGCTGGCAACAGACTTCCAGGATGAGCGGCGTTGCAAAGCCAGGCTCTGGCGTGCGTCCTGCAACTGGCTCTCCAACTCGCGTACCACCAGGCGCATGTAGCCA